>NC_000004.12:113163805-113315320 GCF_000001405.40 Homo sapiens | reverse complement strand
GAGTGACTATGGCTAAGTAGACAAGTCTGTCTATTTCAGGAATGTGGTATTAAAGAGCCCATTGGGCTATGAAAGTAAAGTCGCACTTTGCAATCGGTATATCAGTCATACAAGTGAAATTTTGATATCCATTTAGTTGATACCTGAGTCTATCTCTCAATTGGTTTTGTACTGAGAGGAATAGAGAGGTGTTGGTGTTTTTTGTCTTTCCTAAAACCCCAACAGGAAAGAAATACAGAGGGATAAGAAAAGAAAGAAGGAGACAAAGTGATATATAATCACAAAAAATTGATTAGAGTAGAGAGAGAAAGATATTAGGATATGTACACAGAGAGTGAGAAAAGTTGGACAGAGAGAGGGAGCAACAATGAATAAGTCAAAACCATATATAGGAGTGTCTCTACCTTTCTATGGGTTGTATTCTAGCCTCCTCTACTTACTTACTGCCTTCTGAAATACTAATTGGTTGTTTAATCAATGTGTATCATTTCTAACTGCTTTTTTAAAAATGATGTCGTATAATCTACTTAAATGAAATAAAGATGGACTATTCCAACACCAGAGAAGTTATTCGCTCTAAAAGAATATTCCCTCTAAAATAATAATAACTAAAGAATTATTCTCACTAAAATAATATAACCAGCATGACAAAGGTCTGGAATAATTTAAGCCCTTGGATCAGAAATTGTTCACTCTGATTTAAGACATTAAAAACAAGTTTAAATATTTTCCAATACAGTTGCCAATTTTTCATGAAGTCAATGGTTCTGCTATTCAGTTAATAAATGTATAATAACATAGCCATAGAAGTGTAAAGTTTTACTTGCTGTTCATCTAGGGGATGTACTAGGGGTTTTGTTATGGTCTTAGTTTATATTTTTTATTTTACTACGGTACAACTGCTTTATGGACACATAATAGGTGGTATGAAAGTGTAATTTTATTGAAAAGTATAATAATTACTATCTTGGTAAACTGTAATATTTATTAAACATTCAATTAATGGAGTGGCAAACTTAACGAGTAGAAATCCACAATTTTCAATAAATTTGCTTTAAGATATGAAGAAGCTTCTGTGGTTCATTATTATTTAGTATTTTACATTGAATTTGGAAAGCATTTTTAATTTGTAAGCTACAATAAAATAAAACAGATGCAAAATCCAACTAATCATAACTTGGTTGTATTTGTATTTAATGTACATTAAATTGTATGTATTTGTATTCTTCCATATCTATGCATATTTTAGGCATCAGAATATTTTTTCTATCTTCTCCAACTACACATAGGCTAATTGGGGTTGTTTGGGGAAAGCCATGCTAATGTGTTATCAACCACAGGTGCAGCAGTGATTGTTGAAACAAAGCAATACCTGGGTCATGTCACAGATTTACATTTTAATAATATATTCACCTCTTCTAGCTCAGCTAGTTATTCAGTTCAATACATAAAAATATTTATTTTAGAATAAATCCATAATTCTAGAATATAAGCACCCCCTCCCACTCCCCCACCGCTCCCCCTCACCCCCCGCCCCGGCAACACACACACGCAGGTTTAGCAGTGAGCAGGGAAATGTGGATAAATCTAGGAAGGGCTTGTTTCCATGCTCTGTTAATACCTACCTGGGCATGGTGCTAGTGAAAGCAATTCAGATAAAGAAATAATGCAAAGGAAAAAATGGTCACTGAGAAAAGGTAACTTATATTGAATTGCCTAAGCAAAATTAAAAATAAAAGAAGACCATGAAAATGAGATGCTGTCTGTCACTCTATTTTGGAAATGGTGAATACATCTAGTGATCTAGAAATGCAAGTGGAGACCTGGAGAACACAGTATGTCTTGTTTGTTTCATGTCCCCTGACCTTATGTGCTGAAAAGTATTGGATTTAAGCAGGAGCATTCAAGCCATCCATCCTGTTTTATAGAAAGTATTATTCTAAATTCTTCCTCAACCTAAGTACTTTGAAAGAAGAAAAACAGATCAAATCAAGTACTTATTCTTAATAAGGGAGACCATGCAAAAAATAGAAGCTTTATGGTTGACAGTAATAAGACTGTTCATAGATTATCATCAATTTGTGCAATGCCATGAACATTACACTTTATTCAAATTTGAAATCTTTTAAGAATCTCAGAGTATAAGGTCCAAATCTACCAATGTATCAAGACAGCTTATGGAACTCCAGAGGGGCTCCTCCTTCTGGGAGCACCCTTTATCTAAGTTATTGAAGCCAAGGACTCAATTTAATCTCCTTCCCCTTCCTCACCTAAATCATGAAATTCATCATGAAATCTGACTAGTTTTGCCTCCTACACATGTCTCAAAAAACTCTCAAATTTTTTATTTCTGAAATTCTCTCCATGACTATCACCAAGGTTAGAGTGCTAGTCCTCTCATGACACCTGCAGTTAATACACGAACAATTGCTTCTCAGAGTGGCTGCAATCTCCAGGTTTAGCCCTTTGAAACTCTCCTTTAAAATTCATCCTCTTTCTCACTGGCAGAAGGATCCCCCTGCTATGCAAATATAATTCCCGTCCTCCACACTTACACTCCAGCAACACTGCATTCCCTTTTTTCTCATACACCCTGCGAGCCTTTGCTCAAGACCTTGTTAAGGCTTCAAATGCCCTCCCCACTTTTCCTCACCATTGTTACTCATTATTTGGTCTCAGTTTGGTTTCATCTGCTCCAGGAAGCTAGAGCCTCAGGGCTTCAGTGGCACTCTATGTGTACCACTAGCTTATGCCCTCTCCCATCCCATTAGACTATGAAGTTAACAAGCCTATCTTGCTAAAGAAAAAAAAAAAGATAGTGGAAGGGGGCATTGGTGCTCAAGGAAAAAGCCCAAGAAAAGTTTGTTTTTGCTAATTATTCACTTAGACTTTAAGGTATTTATTTCTTAGACTCTATGCTGGATATTCATAAAATAGCTTACAATAGTGCCAACTTTAAAACTATAAACCTGAGATTATTGATTAGCAGAACACATTACACTACGTGGACAAACTTTCTTTTCTTTTCTTTTTTTTTTTTTCTGTCTCAAGAGACAGTGTCTTGCTATGTTGCCCAGCCTGGACTTGAATTCTGGGGCTCAAGGGATCCTCCAACTCAGCCTCCCAAGTAGCTGAGACTACAGGTCTCAGCACCCAGCCACTGCACCCAGCTATGACATCCATATTCATGGCCCAACTTATCAGTCATAATTTCAATGAGGAACCACAGAATGTCATTACCTAACTTGCATAAAAAAATAACAAGTGCCAGTTGTACTAGTTAATAATAACAAAAAGTAGCACTGATCATATATCTCAGAATATTATATAAACCTCCCAGATTTGCCTATTAACACTGGGCTCCCTCAGATTTTGCTCCGATTGTTTCTTGTATCCAGGCTCTCGTGGGATTCTGTTCGGATTCTTTTTCATGAAAAAGTCAGTTCCAGGCAGTTTTGTTCTGAATGTATTTCTTTTTAATTCAGCCTCACAACATACTTTATTCACAGAAATTATGTTACTAACAAAAAAGTGGGGGCAGAAGAGTATCCAAAGTGTCTGTGATGCCGCTCAGTAAGAATGTCTATAAGGCAAAATTGTCCTTTTAATTTGAGGAAAAAGTGGCCAGTGATGAAAAACGCCACATTTAAATGATGAGAACTCTTATTTATGATGGTTTTGCTTCTTACTAGTTGTTTGATTTTACCAAGTTATTTGATCTTTCTAGGCCTCAGTTTTCTGTTCTTTAAAATGGGCATATCTTAAAGTTGTTAGACAATGGAAAAACATAACATGCTAACTGCTGAGATTAATAAGGTACCTATTAAATGCTCAATAATTGCATCTACATTTTTATCATCATCATAAAAAATATGTTGCACATACTTCTGGCTGACATCAATTATAAGTTTTATGAGATACCTGTCAGATCGTCCTCCCTCCAAGCTGTATCGCAGGTAATTCATACCATCCAGGAACTGACTGCTGGGTAGTGAGTCATCACCCAGTTCTTTTAGGTCCTCAGGCCTAAGGTATTCTCCCCCATCACCAGTCATTGTGTCATCACCTTGAAACAATCAGAGGAAGAAGCAGGATTATTTCTTGAATGTAATATCAACTACAACATATGGTCATGATTGTGAAATGCATCAACATCATTACCTTGACCTTGATGAAACTGCACTGCACACTAGAACACAGAACACCAGCAAACAACTATACAGTGCTAAAACTTAGAGAAACAACATTTGATTCATTTTCTTAGTACTTACCAAGAAGAAGTAATCACTTGAATTTTAATTCTTTTAATATTAAGTTTGGATATCCCTTGTTGTTTACTTCTAGGAGAAAAAACTTCTAAGATGAATTCTAATTATAGATTTATCAAAACACAGGCATAGTCTGCTTTAGGATTAAGCCTACATTACTTTCAGAAAAAAATATGAGTTTTATTAACATTTCAGGAGACTACATCTATTCTTATTCATGAAAAGGTGAAGGGGATGGTTTAATACAGAATCTGTCACATAATACAAGCACAGTGCAAGCTGCATATTATGGATCCCTTGCAAAAAGCCAAAAAGATTATTTAAAAACTAAAAGTTGGCTGGCTGCAGTGGCTCATGCCTGTAATCCCAACCCTTTGGGAGGCTGAGGCAGGTGGATCACCTGAGGTCAGGAGTTCAAGACCAGCCTGACCAATATAGTGAAACCCTGTCTCTACTAAAAATACAAAAATTAGCTGGGCGTGGTGGCACATGCCTGTAGTCCCAGCTACTTGGGAGGCTGAGGCAGGAGAATTGCTTGAACCCAGGAGATGAAGGTTGCAGTGAGCCGAGATTGCACCACTGCACTCCAGCCTGGGTGACAGAGTGAGACTCATCTAAAAAAAAAAAAGTCTGCTTATATACTCTTTCTTTCCCCCAGTCTTCTACCCCACCCCTACTCCCCAAAATTCTAGCACCAAATTCTGAATACTACTTAGGTTCGAGCATCCTGTCCCTCCTCAGAGTCTGTTTGCTTTTGCATTTCATCTTGCTTCTCCTAATTTGCCAGTTCTCACCGCTGTCTCTCAGCAGCCAAGATGGTCACAGGGAATAAATACAACTCAAAATAAGCTTTAACTTCTTGGTCCTTAAAAATCCACAAAACTCCTTAATAAAATGGGTCCTACATTTCAAATTTTCTTATTTCTCCCATTTATCTTTCCCTCTTGTTACACCTTGGTAGGGTGAGGAAGGTTTATAAGGGTGAAGAAAGAAAAGGTGAGAAAGGTAAAGATAAAAGAAGAGTCTGGCTGGAATGACTCTACATCTGAAGGAGCAAGACACAGCATTTGATCAGGTAGAACATGCAAATCAACCACAGGAACCCAGCCTTCCTCTCTCGTGTGAATAGAATCTTATTAGAAAATAGAAAGACATTTGAAGAATATATTTTTAATCAAATATATCAAAATTTTATGACTCTGGTGACAAGACAAAAATTTAAAACTTCTGATTGGCCAGGTACAGTGGTTCACACCTGTAATCCCAGCACTTTGGGAGGCCGAGGCAGGAGGATTGCTTGAGCTCAGAAGTTTGAAACCAGCCTGAGTAACACCTAGACCTCATCTCTACTAAAAATTTTTTTCAAATTAGCAGGTCATGGTGTCATGCACCTGTATTCCCAGCTACTTGGGAGGCTGAAGTGGGAGAATCGCTTGAGCCCAGGAAGTCGAGGCTACAGTGAGCCATGATCGCACCACTGCACTACAGCCTGGGCAACAGAGTAAGACCCTGTCTCAAAAAAACAAAAAACAAACAAGCAAACAAACAAACAAAAAAACCACCTCTGATTACGCTGAGTTCCTAAGTGAATGTCCTTTACATTCTCCCTTATTTTGTGCATTTTGATGGTTTTGTTATGATGCTATCTGCCTAAGGCTGCTGCTAGGTTCAGTGCTACTTAAAGTGAATTTTTAGCATTTTCATATACACCTGGGGTGGCCCTAGGTATATAGTCAATGTCTTGATTATGTCTCAGAGAGAAATGACCCAAAGAAGCAAAGTCCCTAAATGCTGAAAGCAGTGTCTAAATCCTATCCCAGTGTTGGCATTAGCTGGAAAGCCACCTCTCTGGGGACTAATCTTGTCAGTGCTATATAAAATTTCTCTCGAAGACAGTTAGATGTATATAAATCATGCTATTCAGTAATACATACCAGCAGTGAAAGATGGAAAGTGAAAGCAAGTAGAAATTAACAGAATGTGAAAAATCACTTTGAAAAAAATTACCCAGGTTGGTCTATAACTGGAAAATTCTGCATACAAATCAAAGCTTTAAATGTATTTAATGAGCCCCTGAAATAACACTCATATTCTTGCTTCCCTTGGTGGGTGAGAAGATTTCTGCTAGTGTAAAGCTGGCCCATCCCTGCCTCCAAAGCCTCATCCCCTCCCAACTTCCTAGATACATTGTCTGCTAGGCCCTTCATCTTCAACCTTCTCTCCTCTGTTACAGATTCTATGGAGGTCTTTCCCCTTCCATGGATAAAACATCCATATTTCTGCCATCTCTGAAATATGGTAGCTTCTTTCCCAAACTCTTAGACCTTCTTTATTTCACACTCTGACTCCTGTTTGTTAACAATCAAACTTATCAAGCAGATGCTTGCTAATTTCAGCAATTAATCAGTGGCTGAGAAGTGATTTCTTCTTTGTAAAACTATTCTCCTTAATTTCTCTGACACAAATCTCTCCTGGTCTTCCCCCTATATTTTTGAGTCTTTCTTCCCTGTCTCTACTTCTCTTAAATGTTGATATTTTCCATCTGCCTTTTCTTCTTATTTCACATATTATCACATGGACTTAGAGGTCCACTAACAATACACAGATCTGTATTGGTCCCAGACCTCTCTCATGAATTTTGCATCTATATTCCAATTGCCTTCTGGACTTCTCCACCTAAATTTTCTATAAGCATCTCAGATTTAGCATGTCCACAGCAGAACTCATCTTCTTTACCTCTCCCCTTGTCAATGTGCTTCTCTTTGAAAATTCCCTACATGAGCAAATAGCACGACTACTTCCTTGCCCAAGCCAAGGGGGGAGAAAAGATGATTTAAAATAATATTCAGATTAAAAGCTTTAGCTCTTATTTGTTTGAATAGAGTGCCATTAGACTTGGAAAGAATTTTGTACAACTCAGACAGCTTTAAGAGAATCATTATACACTTTCTTTTTTTCAACTTACTTATTCAATGTGAAAACAAAACCAAACTAAAAGCAACCTTTAGTTTTTACATTATAGAACAAACCTAAAATGAATTTCTTTATTATTTCCTATACTTGGAATAACTTCCTTCCGATTGTTACCTATTTACTCACTTAATAGAATGATGATTCCCAGGTTTATGACTTGGCTTTTTCTTGTTGTTTTATTGTCCAATGTTTCCAAGCAATTTCGTGAAAACTGTTTTCTACTAACTGGAAAGCATCAGTGTACTGCAGGCTTTTTATGTACAATTGATGTTTTGATACCCGGAAAACACAAGATTCCTCAGTGATAGTGAGTGGTATATTTAACCCCTGTAGGACACGGGTGACAATAGCATGGGAATAACTTAAAGTGGAACGGCGGCCGGGCGTGGTGACTCACGCCTGTAATCCCAGCACTTTGGCAGGCCAAGTAAGGTGAATTCCCTGAGGTCAGGAGTTCGAGAGCAGCCTGGCCAAAATGGTGAAAACCAGTCTCTACTAAAAATACAAAAATTAGCATGGTGGCATACACCTGTAGTCACAGCTACTCTGGGAGCTAAAGGCAGGAGAACCCGGGAGATGGAGGTTGCAGTGAGCTAAGATCACACCACTGCACTCCAGCCTGGGCGACAGAGTGAGACTCCATCACAAAAAAAAAAAAAAAAAAAAAGGTGGAATGGCTCCCCTTCCTGACAACCCCTCATGATGCTGACAAGGAGATTCTCTGAAACGTTACGGAACCCACTCCCTCTCAAGCAAGCATTATTCCTGCTGAGACATGGAAAAAGGGCTAAAACCTGAGATGAAGAGCCCCACTAAGTGTTAAGTGTTCACAACAGAAGTGAGTGTTTCAAAGGAGGAGGCGCCTCTATATTTCATCCCAACATTCAGCCAGTCTGGAGTTCTCTTGATTACTAGTATACATCATTCCAGAGTACTAGCAGAGATATATGGACAAGCCACCCACTCAAGAATCCATGAGAATAAGGCATACATGAGTCACATTCCTATGGGCATTTTGGTTATACAGATGCCAAAATCTCTGAGCCCCACCTCATCATTTATGGCTGGGAAGCCAAGTCAGCGAAGACAGGGATCAACTCACGATCCTACAAAGACTTAGACGATTACCTTCACATCTTTGGTTAAATCTGGATGCTATAATTCTGTTAGACTGAATTCCCATTTCTGTCTTTTCCTTGCATTTCGCTGCCATATTCCTCCATAAGGATGTTATTTATATCATGGCTGTGCTATTACAATAGTTTTCATACTAGGTTTTGATTCCACACCCACCACTTACTAGCTGCGTGCTATTGAACAAACTACTTAATGTCTCTAGGCCTCATTCTCCAAAAATAAGCCTTTCCTTAACTGAAAATATATATATATATGTGGAATGATATCCACAGCCTGTGTCACAGGGATGGTATAAGGATTAAATGAGACATGTACCTAGCATTATAGAGATTTAGTAAATGCTTTCTCTTTTCTTAGATTTCTGCTTCCTTCCAGGTTCTTCTCAATAAACTTTTTCTATGTACCACTGCTGGTTAAATCTTTGTAAAAACAGTTTTAAATGTTTTCATCATTAATTGAAATCTTTAAGGTATCGTGTTTCCCTTTCAGTTAAGAATTCAAACAGTCCACAACTGAGCCTGGTATGTTTTTATGCATCAGCAGACCAAATGACTGGAGGATTCTGCCACTCTGTGTCTCTCTCTTGTACTTTCCTATCTCAAGACTTTCCCATACTGTTCCTTATCTAATCCCTAAAATCTATGTGCCCTGTTATTAATCTCTCATCTCTTAGCACGTTCATGAGACTGTGTTAGGTATATCTAGCTCCTGATCTCCCCAAGTGGATATGAAAAACTGACAACATAGTGCCTTACATTATACTTCTTTTAATATATACATTATTTCTCCATATAGGCTTCCTAAAGGTGTGCCTCATGCTCACCTTTGACCACTGTGGCATCAGTTATAGAGCTTTCCGAAACACAATAACATCATATTCATTATTTGTTAATTGGATTCATGAGTGGATATTATGGATTACTTTAATGTGTATACAGCAAATTAGCCTGATAGGATATCTCAATGTAAGGACATCTCAATGTAAAGTCTTACCTTATGATTTTATCTTGAAGAACCTAAAGAAACATCCTTAATATTTCTCCTTAAAAGCTATTAGTATTAAACATAGTGCCATTCTTAATGACAAGAGTTTGAATACTCTTTTTGGGTGTCAATACACTATTACTACTAATAAAACAATAGACTGTAGAGAAAACAGGGATTAGCTAATAATTTTCAAATACATGTGGCTGCATTGTGTCCACGTGGATGATAGCAGGTTTCATAAAAACATATTAACCTCACAAAACATTAAAGTGTTGGCATTGGCAATGTCAACCAGCTAATTTCCTTCACACTAATTTTTTCCATGAAAAAGTTACTTATCAATACTCAAATAGATCCTTTACATGAAAATTATTCAACTTGAATTTTCCTCGGGGAAAGAAATATCATTAAGTTTTGGCTATTTCTAAAAATAGACTTCTCTTGCCACAAAAGATAATCTTGGTCATTCACCAATATTCTTCACAAACCAAGAGTTCTTATCACCAGTAATATTTAATATATAACATTTTTAATAATGAAAGTACAGAATGTTATAACTTATCTCATTTAATGCAATAGGCAGATCTGAGAGGCTATTTTTTTTTTTTTTTTTTTTGAGACGGAGTCTCGCTCTGTCGCCCAGGCTGGAGTGCAGTGGCGGGATCTCGGCTCACTGCAAGCTCCGCCTCCCGGGTTCACGCCATTCTCCTGCCTCAGCCTCCCAAGTAGCTGGGACTACAGGCGCCCGCCACTACGCCCGGCTAATTTTTTGTATTTTTAGTAGAGACGGGGTTTCACCGTTTTAGCCGGGATGGTCTCGATCTCCTGACCTCGTGATCCGCCCGCCTCGGCCTCCCAAAGTGCTGGGATTACAGGCGTGAGCCACCGCGCCCGGCCGAGGCTATTTTTTATAAATTTCGTTTATAACTCAATATTAAATACTTTAAATGTATTAACTAATGGAATTCTCCAGCAATTATTTTGTAAATAAAGGGCTATTTTTAAATTAAATAATCACTATTCAATTTATCTGATTTATAAATTTAAATTTTCATGTAATAGAGTTGCTTAAAGTGGTACCACGTGTACTTTGGAAACCTCTTACTAGATAAAATATCTTACATTACTCATTTTTCCTTATATGCAAAATTCACCCTAAATAATTTTTAAATGTTACTTTATTTCTATTCTTAGCTATATTAAAAATCACATAACTATTAATATATTTTTAATCACACCTAAAATATATCATCAACCAAGGGAGTGATATAAACTGCATTAATTTCAAGTGGTCTAACTTAGTTATTGTCATGTTCACACTAGCTCAATGTCAACTAACAAAAGAATTACTTTTCTCTAAATTTATATTCTAAGAAAAGATAATAGTTGTGGAAAAATATTTATATAATGTTCATTAGATTATATAATTATGTTAGCAGTTCTCAATAATAGTTGCAAAATCATTAACAGTACAAACAATTCATGACTTTAGGCTTCTAAGTTAATAAAATCCACACACTCAAATGCACACATATACAATTCCACTCATATTACACATGCTATTTCAAAAGAAACAGATTAGTATTAGGCACACAGATTTAAACAAGTTGTTCTATCCAGTTAAGAAAAATCAAAAGCAAAGAAAAGCTTTCACTCCAAAAATATCCTCTAAGGGTACCTGAATCACTAAGTGCCTCCCCATCAATAAAGTGGTCACCAAACTGTTTAAGAGCTGTTCAACATACAAGTAAAGATAATAAAGATGATCCCACAAAACAAAATATGATATGCATATAGGAATGCTGAGAACTAGTTGGCAAGTATTAAGATAGAACACAAAATTATACTAAATATTTGGAACTGCTGGCCTTGGGAATACCTTTGAATTTACTCAAAATACTACATTGATCCAACATTTGTTCATTCTTGTCATAAATTTTTATAAAAGCTGAGAAAACTCAATACATACTACCAATAGGTGATTCAACAAGTTGGTTCTAAATAAGGACATCTCAATGTAAAGTTTTATCTTATGATTTTATCTTAAAGAACCTAAAGAAACATCTTTAATATTTCTCTGTATAAAAGCAATGAGTATTAAACCTAGTGCCATTCTTAATAGCAATAATTTTTCAAACATACATTTTCATGTACATATATGGTGGTAATTTTTCAATCATGTTCATTGGACCAATAGCTGAACTATTGAAACTTGGTTGCGTGATTTTTTTTCTTTCTTTTTTCTATCTTCTCATAAAGAAATGCTTGCAAATTTTATATGCTGCTTTCATGATTTTTTAGTAGCACATTTTTTTATCCAAGTGGATTATTACATGGAAGTTCAAAATACAAAATGAAGAAAAGTCAGCTACTCTAGTTGAAGTAGAGATAGGGAGCCGGACACCCTCCAGCTGGCCCATCTCCAGCTCTAGCCCAATGTCACACACCCACTCCAGGCAGTCCCCACTGCTCCTTTTTGGAAAGCAGGCTTCCCAGGACTTAGGAAGCCATTGCCTGAGATCATTTTTCATCAACTCTAAAATTATAGGGGGGATATTTTCTGACTTAAATAATACATTCTTCTGTGGAATTTATACTACTTCCTGCTGTACTATTTTTAAACCTTCTATAAGGCTCTTCTCCTCTGGGCTTAAAATATATTCTGTACATATGAACCAACCAGAATACAGAGATTTCTCAATTGAAGAACACTCATTGATGGAGTATACTTTAAAGTCTTTACTTAAAGTCATTTGAATAAAAAAAGATTTTTTAACATAATTCAAACATATTTTAATAACAATTGTGTTATCATATAGCTATTTTAACACATGGCCAGTTTCCAGTTTTTCCCCTTTTCCAGTCATATTATTTAATAGCCATTAATTTTAATGCTAGGAAAAAGAAATAATACCAGAAACAAATATACTAATCAGAACTGCCCCCGGCCCCCGCTGCCATGGCAAAAGTAAATGTATTGAAACAAAGGTGAAAAAGTGACTTTAAATGTTAAGATTCTGTCATCCACATAACCAGCTTGGTCTCTGAAAAAAAGGGTAATTTGCCCTTGTGTAAGAACATGACAGGTGTCATAGAAGATTGAATAGAAGTCTTACCCTCTTCATCAGAAACATCAAGAACCTCAGTCATCGTCTCAGGTACATTTAGTTTGTGTTTTTCTGTAATAGTCTGGAAAAACAAAAATCATTAATGTTCAAGTTGAAACCAAAAGTAAACAAAAGATGAAAAGCATCACATAGGAGGCCACACTCAACAGCAGCAGCAAGCCATCGAGCCATGACTACGGGATCTTTCCCGCGTGTATATTTTGGAAATTTGCTTTCATGAAAACTCATTTGTTCTTTTTGAAGATAAATGATCATTTATGCCAGAGAAGTTGTACAAGAGACAGTTCATTATTTTGAGTTCTCATTTGAAAAATAAATTCTTTAGCAATGGTATTATTAATAATAATTAGTTGTATTGAGAAAGCAGATTGATGTTTTCAAAGCTTCCCTAAAATGAACTAAGTGACGTTTCCAGAAAAGCTTTAAAAAGAAACAATGAACATATGCAATGTATTAAAAGCAAAGCCATTAGAAAAGAAGCTGTAAATAATGTGAAAGATATAAACTATTTGGGCAGAAAATATGACACATCTCTTTTGGGATCAGAGGATCAAATCATCTCTTTAATATTTCACTGGGCTACAGTTCTGGTTTGTTGCTTATTTGCCTTATGCAATAGCTCTCCAAGGTTGTCAATCCACTGCCTTTCATTCCTCATGTACAGTGTAAGGTTAAGAGACAAGGATCTGAGTCTAGCTGCCTGGGTTAAAATTCTAATTTCATCACTTATTACCTATAAGGCCCTAGCAAGTCCCCTAACCTACATGTGCCTCAATTTCCTCAACCATAAGTAAAGGATAGAAAAGTACTTCATAAAATGGTTAGGAAGATTAAATGATGTAATATATGCAAGAGCTCTAAAAATAGTGCTTGGCATATGTTGGCACTCCATAAATATTAGCTACCATAATTTATTATGATTATTGTAACTCAGTATTAAATGCATCTTAAAAGTGAAGAGCCTCTGGACTTTTTATAATCATTCTTGCACTCAAGGAAAATTCTGAATGTCTACTGCATGCTTGGCACTATTTTAGACACAAGACATACCAGTGATTTTTCAGAATAATAGAAATAAGCCAGACATAGAGACAAATACTGCATAATCTCACTTATATGTGGAATCTAAAAAACTCACAGAAGCACAGAATAGACACCTGGTGGTGACCAGGTGTTGGAGAAGGAAGGGGGAGGAGCATTTGGGAGATGTTGGTTAAAAGATACAAAATTTTAGTTGGACAGGAGAAATAAATTCAAGAGATTTATTGTAAAACATGGAGACTACAGTTAATAACAATGTAGTATATACTTGAAAATTGCTGAGAGTAGATTTTAAGTGCGCTCATCACAAAAAAAAGGATATGTATGTGGAGGTAATAGATATGTTAATAAGCTTGATTTAGCCATTTCACAATGTGTGTGTGTGTGTGTGTGTGTGTGTGTGTGTGTATCAAAACATCATGTTGTATACCATAAATATGTACAATTTTTATTTGCCAACTAAAATAAATAAATAAAAGATATGTGTACCCCAAAAACATAAAAATTCAAATCTCATTATTTTGAACATCACCTAAAGACTATTGAGTGTCAAATTCAAACCTTCAGTTTCTGTAGTGAAAATACATTAAGGGCATCAATTGACACTGTCATGGAAACTTTAAAAAAAAATGAATCCCTTGACATAAGAGTAACATCTTCAACTAAAACCACCAAAGTACAAAAAATAGGTTGTCTAGTTTTTTAGGCTTTGACCTAGATGTTAGATAATTGTTTGAAAGGCTATAATGAACCTATCATCAATTATTTTCTTTCCAAAAGCAGTAGATAACTTCAAATATATTTACAAAGAAATTCAACTGGTTAATCAAATTCCACTGAGCAACTCTGACTATATACATATATAAGATCTGTGTGATCATAATGTGATACTGCATGAGCTTTTTGGTGGCTCTTTGTTTTCTTCAGAAAACTGATTAAACTGGCTCAGAAGAGCCCTGTGATTCAGTAAAGAGCGAGAGGTAGCAAGGCCTCATCTCTCATTCCATGCTACGATCGTGTTGAGCTGCCTTTATTTTGACAGGTCATGTTCTCTCATGCCTCTGAGTTTTTCCACATATTCTCTCATTTACCAGAAATCTTCTTTCCCCTCTTCTCTTGGCTCAGGTTAGATGTGACTTTCTTGGAGAAACATTCCCTGATCCTCCCCAGTGAATGTCTTTGTTTAACTGTGTTTATCTGCTGCTATGTACTCCTAGAGCATCGTGTGTGCTGTGTCATACACTACGCACTGTGTGTGCCCTCTCTGCTTATCTGCCCACATGAGAGTGTGAGTCATTTAAGAGGAAGATTGTTTCCACAGCACCTGAAACATAGCAGGAGCTTTTCAAATATATATCAAAAACTTGTTAATACTAAATTATGCAAAAAATAAATTTAAAATCCATATCATGATGAAATGGATTGTCTTTGGGTGGAATTTTAGTTAAAAGACAGGAAGAAACAGAGAAAGTAAAGAAAGTCTCCTGCTACTCACATGAAGGCACAGTTGGAGGCAAGGGTTGTAAATTCAGCTTGCCTGCATATTTCTAGTGATATTTAAATAGTTTTATTCAGAGTCTTATTCACTGAAAGCAAACTAAATGCTGCAGGAAAAACAAAAGTATCCAT
The DNA here is from genome assembly GCF_000001405.40 of Homo sapiens. Classification (NCBI taxonomy): domain Eukaryota; kingdom Metazoa; phylum Chordata; class Mammalia; order Primates; family Hominidae; genus Homo; species Homo sapiens. Next base: position 113,300,157 of record NC_000004.12, on the reverse strand, counting down.
CCAAAAATCTGGAGAATAGTAGTGGTTGATAAATATTTGTTGAATGAACAAACTCAAAAAGACTATTATAATATACAATTTGATTATTATTTTAATATTATAAATTTTAATTTAGAAATTTAACACCAATAAATTATAGCCCATATTCTGTATTAGTGGTATTCAACTATAGCTACATATTACAATTATTAGAAACATTTAAAAAATATTGTTGCTTGGGTCCCATCATAGACCAATTAAATCAAAATCCATAGGGATCGGGCCCAGCTATAATGGGGACCAGGGTATTTTTTAAAGGTTCCTTAGGTGGGTTTATTGCACAGCTCAATTTGAGATTCATTTTCCTGTATTAGGGAAAGTATATAAATTGCAGGAAAATGATTTGCATTTAAAATATAACATAGAGACTACCCTACTATGAAATCTTATTCAACTTTTTTTTTTTTTTTTTTGAGATGTCGTTTCACTCTTGTTGCCCAGGCTGGAGTGCAATGGCACGATCTCAGCTCACTGCAACCTCCGCCTTCCAGGTTCAAGCCATTCTCCTGCCTCAGCCTCCCAAATAGCTGGGATTACAGGTGTGCACCAGCACGCCTGGCTCATTTGTGTATTTGTAGTAGAGATGGGGCTTCACCATGTTGGCCTGGCTGGTCTCGAACACTTGACGTCAGGTGATCCACCTACCTCGGCCTCCCAAAGTGCTGGTATTACAGATGTGAGCTACCGCGGCTGACCTTTATTCAACTTTTTGGGAATATTTAAAAATGTGAAAGGATGTCTACTATATTAGACTGTATTAGAAAGTTAATTTTTGCAGAAATGTTTTAGAGTATTTGTCCTTCGTAGTAAACATTTCAATAAGGAGATGATTCTCTGTTTGAAAATAATTACTGGAGATACTTTTTAAATGATTAAGTTTCATTGCCTGATAGTCTCAGTTTCTATTTTCAGGTGCTGATAATGGGACTATATTTTCTTTGTACTTGTAAGAGTGGAAACAATAATTTACTTCAGTTTGGTCACTGAATGCTATCAGAATTATCAGCAAATATATGTGGCAACAGAAAAAGTAATACACTGTGATCATATTGGTCATGGATATTTTTCTGTATAGATATTAAAAATGGCCTCTATATGCAATGTGGTAAATATAATATCATTTATACATGAGAAGGTATTTGACCTTTAGAAGGCCATCATTAAATATTTGTTGAATGGATGGAAAATAAGTAGTCCTACATATGTATAATGTAACAAGAAATGAATACATATTTTCCTTTTAAACAAAATGTCCTTTGAAAACTTGATTATTTAAACATAAACATGGTTTTATGCAACTACCTCTGAATCGTACATAGAGAACAAGGCTATAGTGAAATGATCATGGACATCTCTTTCTGCTACAGAATCCAAGATACTATGGTCAAGATTAGAAACTACTTTAAAAGTTAAAATGAGTAGGACACTAAGTACAAGTTTAATGGGATATAATTAAATCGGATAATATGGCAAAAGAAATGGTATATAATAGATGGAAGAGAGATTTAATAATGAATTTATATTGTTAATCACGATATGAAAAATGTAGAAAATAAAGTAGGAGTTCTTAACATTCTGCTTTACAAATAGTAGTCAATATCTGATTTGTTCTATGCAAAAGAAACTGTGTGTTTAACTGATCTTCACTTAGCCAACCCTCACTCAGCCAATCCTCCTGGTCACCAATTGCATTTATATCACATAATCCCTAAGCCACCACAGCATACTTAGTGATCTTGGTTATGATGCCACCTTTTAAGGCCCTCATCCATAGCTTCCATCAGTGGAGTTCAAGCTAAACTTGTTTTTGTTTCTAAACATACTTATACCAATCATACATATTAATATAACTTTAATAACTAAATTAAATATTATGTAAATACTGTTTTTTTTCTAGAAAAACTAGGGTAGATGTTTTTTGAAGTCCTAACAAAGGTGAGTCACTGAAAGTAATACCCAATTAGATGTAATTGAGACAATTATAACAGGTTGAAAAAACATGTCAAAAGTCTAAAAAGATTCTGCACTAAGTATGTCTTTTTAAGAAAATACACAGCAGGGGCTCAGGACTGTAATCCTAGCATTTTGGGAGGCCAAGGCAGGTGGATCGTTTGAGACGAGCCTGGACAACGTGGCAAAACCCCGTCTCTACAAAACAATACAAAAATTAGCCAGGAGTGGTGGCACCTGCCCACCTACTACTCCCGAGTAGTCCCTGTTACTCTGGAAGCTAAGATGGGAGGATCACCTGAGCTGCAGTGAACCGTGATAGTACCACTACACTTCAGCCTGGGCAACAGCGTGAGATCCTGTCTCAAAAAAAAAGAAAGAAAAGGAAAGTACACAGAACATACAAATATCATATAAATATACATATTATAGCATATATATACATAATATAATAGGTATTGATATTGTTTGTGCAAGAATGGCAATTTAATTTCTAATCGATGGACCTATATTTAAAGAAAAGATCTTGGCTCTACCTCAAAAGGTGTCAAATGACTTTACAAGTATTTATTGTATTGCCATTTTTATGGCTCCTATTTTTAAAATTTTTAAATTGTTGTGGATACACAGTTGTACATACTTACGGGGTACAAGTGATATTTTGATATAAACATAAGTATAATGATCAAATCAGGGTAATTGGGATATCCATCACCTCAAACATTTATCATTTCTTTTTAAAGTCCTAACAAAGGTGAGTCACTGAAAGTAATACCCAATTAGATGTAATTGAGACAATTATAACAGGTTGAAAAAACATGTCAAAAGTTTAAAAAGATTCTGCACTAAGTATGTCTTTTTAAGAAAATACACAGCGGGGGCTCAGGCCTGTAATCCTATCATTTTGGGAGGCCAAAATGCCTCCCCAGTGGATTTGGGGACATTCCAAATCCACTTCTCTAGTTATGTTGAAATATACATTTTAGTTAACTATAGTTAGCCTGCTGTGCTGCCTAACACTAGATCTTACTCCTTCTATCTGACTGTATTTTTGTACCCATTAGACAACTCCTCTATCCCCTCCTCCCCTGATTTTCATGTTAACTGACTTATGGCATCAGGTAAGATTTAGGACTTAGAATATTCACATTTTCTGAGTTTACTGAACTATTCCCTAATGTTCAAGTAATAATATAAGATAATATTTTTATTTTACTAATTTATTCAGTAATTTATGGTCTGCATACCAATTATATGCAACATAAAACACAATCACTTTAAGATTATACAAATAATAGAAATAATTGATGATGGTTGATCAATTAGCGGAAGGATGAGTCATATGTCACAGTTCTTCCAAGCTGCATTAGTGGATTGGGCTTGTTGGCTTCTGTCACCAGAAATGTGTCTCTACCATTCTGATATCCATTCTGGCAAACATGTAGTGATTGTAATCCCAGGAGAATGCTAAAATGTCTCATATTCCCTGCTGTATCTCACAAAGTAAAGTTAGAAAAGCAAAGGTTAAGGAAACAAACTACGATTCCAAAATGTCTCAGAAGTTTCTACAGAAGTGGTTTTTCCTTTACAAACTACTGCCTTATTCTGGTCTCTACACAACGACTTTATTCATACTTTGGGGTAAAGAACTCAAAAGAAAGAATAGGAAAGGAAACTTTCTTTGATCAAAAGGACTACATGGTTGCTCATATGGCACATCATACAAATCCAATTCATGTTAAATTAGTATGTCAGTTGTGCAGGTGTAATGCAACTGTTGCATTTGAGCGGTAATAACATTAACTTTTATTAATTTTACTTAACTATTAAGTTGTCTATTGTGCTATCATCAGTAGTTTCAAATTATTTTTGTGACTGTAGATTTTAGAAAATGATATTGAATATCACTCTCCCACAAAAATCAATAAAGAGCACTATTTAAGTGGTTTTTCTTTTTGTTGAAAATTAGGTGAAAACAGTTTCTTCACAAAATTCCTATTAAGCTATTTTCAGCAAAACCAAAGTCAGTTATATCAGAAAGGTTAAGAACATGGGCTTTAAAACCCGACAACCTAAATCTGAAGCTTAGATCTTCCCTCAATGCCTTACATATTTTTAAACTTAAATATTACTGTTTTTAATATCATTAACAATACATTATGTGGAAAAAATATTATGTGGGAAAAGAATGATTGAAAATCTCTTTCCAAAGAGAGGAAGTTTATTGTAAGAAGACTCCCAGAATAGATGAGAATAAGTCTATTCTTCCAATCCTTACCCCAAAATTCCATTTCACAAAACAATTAAGCTCACAATTATAAGAGAAACCAGTTCAAAGAGCAGCAGACAGTGAAGAGAGACCAGCATCGAAACATGTAACCATTAAAACTATCCATTTAGGTAACAGAGATACTTGTTTAGCTCATGTGGACAATGATTTCTTAGTGTCCTAACTGAAAGGAGAAATGCTGTTATGTTTTCTATTTTTATTGGCTTTTCACCTAGAAACTTGAATTCTAAGTATAGCGACTTTTGATGGAGCAATGCTCAGCTACAGAATGTAGAGAATAATAGTTACCAGAAAAGAAAAAAAGCTCACAGAGGGGGTTCTAAAAGGAATTTTCATCCCATCTTTTCCAGAGATAGATGTGGTAGAGAGATGATCTTGTATCTGATTTCTGACAAGGACACTGAGACAGCAATTACAGTATTTAGAGACAAACCAGAGAATGCTTATTTGCTCTTCTTTTTAAATATAGATCTTTGTTTGAAGTCATTCACCTGAGTAATATCTACAAACCTGAGATCTCTTTGAAACCAGACATATAAGTTCCATAGTTTTGTTGAGTAAAATATGAATGTATTTTCTTACCAAGCCTGAGTCTCATTCTCTACTCTCATGACACTGAAGTTGCTGGTGGGGAGGAGTAATGTTTTCACCACTGATAATTCTTCAGCACTTAGCACAGAACTTAGCACATATTTTATATCCAATAAATAATGAAGGAATAAATCAGTTAATGAAATGAATGGAAGCAAAGTAGGTACAAGATAGCAAGAGATACAAGCTTGCCATCTAGTGATAACTTGGTAAAATAAACATACATTATTCCCAGAGCAGGGAAAAGGTAAAAAGTTGAGAGAAAACATGACTTCTAATGGCAGAACAGGTGTGCTTGGCCAATCTTGCCACTAAAGGCTTCACGTATTGTGATGTACACCTTGTTTTAAAGATATCAAATGAAGTGGCATATATGTGTAGGCCCTTAATATGAAGATTTTCCTGGTATAAGAAATCATAAAATAAGAAAAAGCCATTAAATATAGTGACCTACAAGTATGGTGCTAGGCAGTGACAAGACCTGTTTTTCTCCTATATAATTTATCAAAGCTATACCTTAAATCTTTAAAAATATTGTGGTGAACTGGCTGAAGGTTTTAAGATTCTGCTTCAGAAAACAAGCAGTGCTATTCTTTCCCATCTAAATTCAGTTTGTGTCTTGCAGCTCATTAATAAATCATAGGCCACTCTGCTTAAAACTGCACGTTAAACCAACTGTATTCCATCACTTCAATATATGTCAACAGGAACTTACTGTCAGCCTGAAGAACAAAATTCCTTTCTTTTTCCTCACATCTGTCAAAAACACCAAGCATTTCAAACTCTATATGCATTTTTAGTTTGGAGCATTTACTAGAACCTCCTTCAGAATTCTTTATTTGTTCATTTGTGGTTTTATTGTCTTTGAAGAGCTTCTCATGTCGTACTGTTCTACTTTTCTACTTTACGAAGCTAAATTAAAGAGCCATTCTTTAATCCATGCTTAAAGTAGAAAGTTAGTGAGTGAATAAATGCAAATATAATAGCACTTCCACTTTCAGGTAGGAGCCCCCTCTCAGGAGGCTCCTTTAAACTTTGCTCCCACTGAATGGTACAGGAGCATTAGGACTCAATATTGTCATGGTCTTTACTCTTCTAGAGTTTCTCTAGCAAAGGCCAGTGATAATCACTGATTTGTCATGAAGAGTCAGCAGTTGTATTCAAAACAGAGAAAATAAGAAATTTTAAAATATACTTTTTCACAACACAGAAACAATTTACCTAGAAAGCACAAGGAATTCTCTTTTTGAATTAAAAAATAATAATCAGAAATAAGATGCAAAGTAAGGATGAATTGCTCTCACTGGGAGTCCATTTGATCCAGTCATGAGCACAGTGTTGGGAGGAGCAGGGTCTTTCCAGAGGCTGGCCTGACCTCCTGGCTAAGGTAAGTTTGCAGTGGAGTGTGTTACCGCTTTGCCAGCGGTAGGTGTCACACACAACTAAAGGAAAGGGCACAGAAGCCAGAAAATAAGAAGCCAGTCACAGAAAAAGGAATTAAATATTATAAAACTATATTCACACATTTTTATAGGGATAGATGCTGAGTAAAGGAAGCCGAAGCCCTGTATTCCTTGTGTGAATCCATTTACTTCTGCATACGCCTATGTATGTGCTACAATACTTTCAACAAAAAGAAGTTCAAAACTAAAAGCTCCAAACATCTTGTGAGTGAAAAAGTACTGTACATGTATTTAGTTTGAAAACGAAGAATAACAGGGCTGAAGCTAGTCAGTCACTCATACTCACTGTGGTGGTGGTGGTGACCTCCTCAGTCACAACCTTCAGGGTGTCGACCACGGAGATGTAGCCCAGACGCTTAGCAATCGCCAAGGCAGTGTTGCCATTCTGAAGAGAGAGTGAAAGAGAGAGAGTGAGAAATAAGAGAGAGGACTGCGATGTGAGCCAATGAGCTCACCCGCTGCTCTGCATCAGCCAGCATTTCCTTCCAAAACAAGGCACAGCTTAGGAAAATCACTAGTTTTTACCATTACGTCTAAATCTGTCTTTGTAACTTCTTCAGACTATAGGCCAGGTCACCATGGTAACACAACAAGCTTGCATCTGCTTGCTCTTTTTAATAAGAAGCACTTGACGCTTTAACCCTAAGGTTGTCAAATATCTTCTACAAATACTGTATTGCACTTAAGAAAGTGCCTCATGACGTCTCCAAAACCTGTTAGCAAGTACCAGGTACACTTATCCCTCATCAGAAGTCAGGCCATCTGCTGCAGGTAAGATGTTACCATCGGGAACACGGTAACATATTTAGCTACAGCTGTGCAGAAGCTCACTGTGCAGCAAAATAACACAGGCAAGCAATTCGGGCTGCATCCAACCCAGGCCACTCGGGATCCCAGTTCGTTTAATTGCACCGCTTAGTTTACATTTCAATGGCTCCACAACTCAATGAGCTTTGTTTAAGCTAGCAGCTCCCTTACTGTGCTCCCTTAAGAAGGCGAGGGGGGGTCAATTTGTGCTCACATCTGAGAGCCAGCTGTAAGCAGAGCACGTTCCAGCAGCCCAAGCGGAGGGCCCCCGTCTCCAGAGAGAGCCAAAGAGTCAGGCTGACTGCTTTCCCTCCCAGGGCAAGCACTTCTGGGGAAGTCACACTGACTTCTGGAAAGCCTGCCCAAAAATCTGGGGCTTTCCAGAGTCCAGGGGGCTTATTTAAAGAGGAGGAATCTGACCTCACTCAGCTCAGACAAGAAGCCACCAGGGCAAGAGAGGAAAAAGAAGAAAGCGTGGTGAGGGGCAGTGGCGTCTGCCTTACCGCAGTGGTGGCGTTGGGCTTGGCCCCATGCTGGAGCAGGACGTTGATGATGTGCGTGTGACCCTGCTGAGCGGCCTGGTGCAAAGGCGTGTAGCCGTTCTGTGGAGGACAGTGGTGGCGGGCCCAGCACCCGATTGGCAGAGGGAGAGGAAAATTAGGTTAGCCTTCATTTTGAATAGTCTTATTTACAACAAAACCATCACAGATGCTTTATTTGGAGCCCAAGATGATCAGCAACCCATTTCTCAGCAGCAAACACTCCCTCACACCTTATGGTCTGCTAAGCAAAGAGAAGAGACCAGCTGATGAAACAAGATTAACAGACTCCAAATGATAACTATTATTACATTTTAACCAGTTAGCATTAAAAAGGAGGGCTCCCTTAAGAAGGTGAAGGGGGTGGGTGCAGTCGACTTCTGCTCACATCTGAGCTGAGAAGAGAGATTTAAAATAAGAAAACAGCATTATCTGTGATTTCTTCCCTGGGAAACAAGAGTTAAAATTGTTTTTAACTGAAGGTTGCAGAGGGTCATATAAACCACTGCTTGTTCATCATGACTCTCCTAATAATTAACCTTTGGCTTAGCTTTAGGGATTCTAAATCATTGAAAGTAAATCTAAATCTTATATTCCTTTCCAAGAACAGCTTTTCTCCCCATTTCAGACGTGATGAAACTGAAAATAAGAAAGTTAAGTAATTTCTCCACAATCGGGCGAGGTTCAGATCCTGTGCAGAAGACTATGACAGCCAATGGCTACCAGACAATGGCTATTATTTATTAAAATCCACCTGCTTCACTTCTCATAAAATTTTATCTATATGTTTCAGACCCAGTTGTCCTGGGCTCTAAGTTCTGAGTGGCCCTTTCATACTCTAAGCTTTTAAGTGTACATACCCCTTTCATCCAATGTCACTGCTGCCCTGTGAGCAACATACATATTTGCTTGTTCTGTCTACTATAGATGTGGGTGCTACATGATTTCTTTATAAATTCACTGCACTCTGTCTGCCCATAGGAACATGCCCACATGTATCAGGGTTACCTAAGTGTCTCTAAGTGTGGCACATCCTCAACTCTGTCATGTTGGAAGTCTTACATCTCCTTATAAATCCCTACAATGGGATGACCCCAGGAAACCTGAAAATATAAATCAATTACAGGGACTCCAAGAAGCCTTTGGCTATTACAGGGACTCTGCGGTCAAATCAGATAATCCATGGACATTTGAGGAGAATACACTAAGCGATACTTCTTTTTGTAAAAATTCTTCCTTTTTGTTGTGTTTACATCCATTAAATCCATTGAATTTAGTTCATCTTTTCAGTATCAGCCAAGTTAATTCATTCAACAAGCATTTACTAATCACACACTATGTGCTAAATAACTTAGCATGTAAATTAATAAAATAATATATCACTATAATATATAAACAAACCTAAATTATCTATAAATATATGTAAATTAATAATGCCAAAGCAACGTTCTTGCCCTCAATAGATCAGTGGACATTGTGGCCACAAAAATGTTCCCCAGCCCTGATTTAATCTAACCTTTACCTGAAATCCCCAGTGAGGATATTTGCCAGGGAAGTCTGGAGCAATTCAGAAGTGTTTACGTAAACATTTGGTTGATTCTTAATCCACTGTCATAGGCCCATCTGGCTAGGAGCTCTAGACCCAGTGCTACCAATCATTTGCAAACCCTTAATCCTCTCTAAGCCCCAGTTTCCTCATTTGAAAAATGGAAATGGCCAAGATTTCAAGTTTGATGAAGGATAAGATAAGTTGTTCATGAATATGTTTTATTTTCTAGCTTTCAAAATTTTAGCAATCACTTTGGTGGTGTTGTTTTCATTCTGTTTGTTTGTTTGTTTGTTTTTCTAATTGAAGAGCTCTATAATCTTCACAGTGTCTTTAATAAATACAATTTTTTTCATGTGCTGTTCTAAACCCTCTTCACAAATTAAATATATGATTAACCAGGTCTGGTTCGTCCCAAGTTGCTATAACAGGGTTTCATTCTAATTTTAAGCAACAAATAGTCTTATAAAACAAGTTAATTTTGCCAAATCTTTTATACCACATCATGAGAGTTTACAGAGTAAAGTTAATGTATATGTTTACATTTTTAAAGCAATGAATCCATTTTTAGTAACTACAGCTACACATAAGATATGAGGAAGAAAACCTAATTCCTTTCCCAAAGATGTCATTTTCATGTGAAAAAAAATCTGAAGAGTTTATTAAAAGACTGTCCTTTGAGGTTTGTATCTATTTCCCTAAAGATATATGGTTCCAAATGTAACACTGCAAGCAACTTAGTTCACTTAAAAAAAAAAAAACAAAAAAAACTGAAATGATAAAATGAGATTTTTCTTTCAATCAAATCTTCATTCAGTGCAGGTCAAACTCCAGGGAGACCATTGATATTCTCTAGACAATATAGTGTTTGCCTACTAAATATTATAACCATTTCAACAATGAAACATTTAAAAATATGATAAGCATTTTCAAGCCCTGCCAACATCTCACTGTACTGTTGCATTTGTTCATTTCAAGAGAATACTTGGATTCCAACCAAAATGTCTTTCCTGGAGTGCTTATATGGGAGCTGGCTCATCAGAAAAGGCTTTAGGAGCTAATGCCTGAGAATTCATATTAGAGGCTTTAAATAAGTCTCAAAGTTCAATTTCATGAGAACTTAAGAACTGGTCAGAAACTAGGCAGCAAGCTATTCTTGCTAGAGTAAGATTATAAGTTTAAATCTTAAATGTTAATAGTATTATTTATAGTTTAAAAATAAGTTTATTTTAAATTAGCTATAAACATGCTTATGTATAGAAATGATTTTGTTTCTGCTTCTAAGAGAATATAAAGACTGACTTATAAAACTTCTGTATATTTTTAATTTATAGAATCTTGAATGATGGCTTTGAAAAGTCCTGAATGTGCTCACACTAATTTACTTGAGCCCATTCAAATAGCTGCAGTCAGAAATTTCTGGGCCAGGCTTGGTGGCTCACACTTGTAATCCCAGCACTTTGGTTGGCCAAGGTGGGAGAATTTCGCTTGAGCCCAGGAGTTCGAGACCAGCCTAGGCAACACAGTGAAACCTCATCTCTACAAAAACTTTTAAAAATTAGCCGGGCATGGTGTCATGCACCTATAGTCCTAGCCAGTCCTGAGGCAAGAGAATGACTTGAGCCCAGGTTCTAGACTGCAGTGAGCTCTGATCGTGCCATTGCTTTCCAGCCTGGGCAACAGAGTAAGACCCTGTCTTAAAAAAAAAAAAAAAAAAGAAAAAGAAATTTCTGATATATGAACTTAAATAAATGTGCAAACAAATATTTCTTTGGATCAAAGAACTTGGAGCTGCAAGTTATAGTATGCATAATAGCCACAGTTACAATATGAACTTCTATTCACCTTGAACCACATTGAGTGCACGAAGTAAAGTGTTATGTTCCAACCTTGCTTTGCTGAATAGGACCTTTCAAATGCCACTGGGGAAACTGCTGGGATCAAGTCAGCTCTGCATTATCCTTGAGAACTTCCAGCCCAGGCCTTATACATTATTGCCTCACTGAGCATGTCCATGTGATGTTCTGAATGTGACAGAGTTCATTAAAAATGAAAGGCACGCAGTCTAGGCTGACTGTCTGTATTTCTTCATGAGAGGAGAAGGGGTCAGGGGAGGGGGGCCAAGCCACTGAAACAATGTAAAGGAAATCTGCCAGAACATCAAGATGTTCTAGCCGGCATCTATTGTATCCTGCAGTAAGTTGTTAAATCGATGTCAGCTACTTTAACTTTATAATAGAAGTAGTTCGAAGCTAACCTTCATGGATGTCAAAGTTATTAGAATGAAAATTCTCAAATAATTACAAAACTACATCACCTCGTCAAAATCACTTTAGAACTAAAAAGGAAGAAAAAAATACACTTGTAGCTTTGGTAAACTAGTGAAGCATCCAGATGGCTGAACCTTTTTGCTTATAGGAATTGAAAATGACCACAAGTACTTTACCTTGGTTTTTGCGTTAACATTTGCTCCCTGCTTCAGAAGAAAGTTGACCATTTTCACATTTCCATAGTGACAGGCCACAATTAAAGGTGTGTAACCAAGCTGTAAATAATAATAAAAAGTTAAAAATAGATAAAGTAGAAACTTTACTACTCTAGTGGTTAATACCCCAGAGGAGAAGGACTGGGTAGAGTATCAGTTATTATAGGATTCCATTTGACTAAAGATATTATTTAGCAGATTATATATGTGCCCCTGACCACAGGGAACTTCATATCAGCAAGAGAGATCAGATGTGGGTGACAAAATCTGCAAAGAACTAAGAGAGAGGCATAAATAATATCTGAAAACAGCAAAGACAGAATGACTCTGATAGGAGATGCAGGAAACATGTAGCTACAGCAGGCTTAAAGAATGGGTAAGAATTTTATGGCATAGAGAGGGAAAATCCATTTCCAGACCAAGGGCATGGAGATGAGCAAATAGAAGAGGAACGCAGCAAGTCATGTGAACTAGCTAAAGCAGTAAGAGAGAGGATAGACTTAAGGCTGCAAAATTGGAGTCTTCCTGCAAAGGGTCCTGACCTCATGCTATCCACTGGACTTGATTCTAGCAAAAAATGGGGAGCCACCATAGATTTGTGCATAGGAGAGGGTTATGATTAGTTTATATTTCAGAATGGACTCTTGAGGAGGGAAGACCCTGGACATGGGGTGACCCGAATGGGGGCTACTGGGAATCATCCCAGCCAGAACCTGTCACAATACTGAGAGTGATTTGCTTTACCTTTGTATGAGCATCCTGATCAGCTCCATGCTTGGTGAGAATATCAGCAACATTCACTTTATCTTCCTGGGCTGCAAGGTGTAAGGATGTGAGTCCACTCTACAGAAAGAATGGAACCAAAGGGATACAGTTGAAGAAGAAAATACATTGCATCATCTATAATATTATGAAAAAATATTGAAAATATTGAAAATATCCTGGAAAACTCATAGCCTCTTCCCAGAAACTATATCTTCTGATATTCAAGGCAAACTCTCTAAATTAATGGTGTTTCCTCTAAGACATGTCCTCTAAGTCAATCAACACATCAGGCAAATTACATTTTCTATTTTCTATAATGGGTTCTTATATTATGATGTGAGACTTTAAAATAGCACAGCCAATAAGCTTTCAAATGGCATGTATTTCAAATCCATCTGGATGTCCCGCTGTATCAACTTATTTATTTAAATAGCTGATCAACCAACTATTACACCTATTTTATAAGCATAATAATCATCTATATTTTATCAACAAAATATCACATCAGTGTAAAAAATGGACAGTTACAGGAAATGAGTTCAGAAAAACTTTCTCCAGCACCCAAAGAGGGTATACTTTTCAGGAGGTTCCTCTAAACATTACCTTAAAGTAACCTCATTATTTATACAGCACCATCAACTGCTCAGCTTTATGCAACATGTTTGGTATATATACATCAAGTAATTATTTGAATATCCAATTAAGGTACAGTTATGAATTAATAATAAAAAAAGAAAGGCATGGAGAAAAGATGGGGGAAAGTGGCTTATTCAGCCAATGTCACACTCTGGTAGCCTTACATGTTTACGGGTGTTTTCTTGAGTATGTTTCATATGTCATGAAGTGTTCATATTCTAGGCACTTGAATACAGCAGTGAACAAAAGTTTCTGTCTTTATGGAGCTTACATTCTAGCCTACAGTATATTTATACTGTATATTTCTCTCCCCTCACTATTGTTCAAATGCCTAGTATATTTATGCTCTTCCTGGACATCCTGCAGCTATAGACTGAGGTGGCTACCTGGGCTCTGAGTCAGCACCTCTTCCCCAGTTCACATCTGATTAAAATTGACCAGCCCTGTTGACCACAACTTTTCAGGCCCACTCTCCTGCATTAGCACTTAGGCTGAGAAAGCTAAGCCATGTTCTTCAAAATTCATGATCTCCAGCCATGGTGCTACTTCTGGAAATCAAAAAGGACACTGACCTTATTTCAAAAATGTAAGTGAAACCTAGAGAGAGAAAACCATTCTACAACGTGAGAGGAGGCTTTTTCCTTGTGGGCCTGGAGCTTTTTAATCCTGAGAGCTCTGGGTGAGCTCAACTTTGAGTTTCGTAAAACACAGGGTGAGATAGAAGGTGTATCCTTTTCTATTAAAATTTTCTTCACTTCTAAACAAATATTATTTAATCCTAATGTATAAAAAATGTGAATATTAGGATAAAACAAGATTCTTTCTTAATTTTCTCCTTACTAAAATAACAAACAGAATATTTCTCTTTACAGAGATAGTCTGTTTAAAAATGTTATTGAAGTGATCATCACATGAAGTGATCATCAAATCTCAAAGACATTTTTGATGACTTTTAAATATGTGTGCTTTTTTCTGCTCTATTTGCAGAATGGATTTTCTGCAATGCAAGATTACAAACTAACAACCAGTATGAAAATCTCTGCAGTTTATTGTGGTAAACTTGCATATCCAAATCAAAGGATGTAAACTGCAGTGAATATAGGTTTTTGTCCACAGTTGCTGTCTCATAACTCCCATAGCCGTTATTACAGTCTTTTGTTATAACGTTGTGCGTTTTAGGCCTCAGGGCCAGGCCTCAGGAAACAAAATATCTCCCACCTTCCCCCGGCCTCCTTTCACTTTCCCTAAGGCTAGGCTCTAATCTTCCCTCCCAGCATTTGTGGATCATAAGACCCTCCTGAGAGAGACAGTCCCATCCTATATCCTGGGGGAATGAATGCTGACATCATGAAGCTTCCATAAATTCCAGAGGACAGGGCTCGGGGAGCTTCTGGATAGCTGAACACTTGGAGCTTCCTTGTGGAGGGTGGTGCACCCAGGAAGGGCATGGAAGCTGTGTGCCTTCCCTCATACCTTGCCCTATGTGTCTCCTCATCTTCATCCTTTGTAATAGCCTTTATAAGAAACTGTAAGCACTGTGAATGTAAGTGTTTCTGTGAGCTCTGTGAGCCACTCCAGTGAATTAATGGAACTCAAAGGGAGTGTCCTGGGAACCCCAACTTGAAGCCAGTAGGTCAGAAGTTCAGAGGCCCAGACTTGTGATTGGTGTCTGTGCAGAGGGCAGTCTTGGGGACTGAGCCCTCAACTGAAGGGATCTAACACTCTCTCCAGATAGACAGTGTTAGAACTGAATTGGAGGACACCAGCTGGTGTGTGCTGCTTGGTATGTGGGGAAAACCTCTCCGCATTTGGTCACAGAAGTCTTCTGTGTTGATGATTGTTGTGTGGTAGGTGTGAGAATAGAGGAAAAACACTGTTTGAAAGGTTTCTGGAAAAAAAAAAAAAACTTTTCTAATAAATCAAGAAAATAGAAAGTGTTGAAGTTCTTTTCAAAAAAAGTAATTTATTTCCTAAGACACACTGGTGGACCCAACGACGGATCTTTTTTGGTTTTATTTTATGATAGATGGTGTTTGGACAATGATTATAATATCACTTCTATATTATAGTTCCTAATGTGAAATAATCATTTGGAGACTATGAAATTATTGAGTTGGCCTTAAAAAGAAAAGAATATATGTTTTCTTCAAAAGCAATGGGAAATTATTTTATCAGTTTTGCTGCTTATCTGAGATATTTTTATAGTTGCATTATCTTATAATTCTAACCAAAAGGCAAGGTTATATGTTTTATGTAAATTTTGTATATTGTATTATTATTCAGATATATCTGTGTAAACTTACTAAAGTTTTACTCTAGTGATAAACATACTATGTGTTTAGGACACCACTCACATGTAATACTGAAATCATTGTTATAAAGATAACAAAATTACTTTGTGATTCAAAATTGAATGTTTTTCTTCATTGCTGAGTGTGCAACTAAAAAATACTCCTTAAATGTTTGCTAACTGATAAAACGCTGTCAAAGAAAGTAATGTATTTAGAAGAATACCGTAAAGGAGGACATAGTGAACTGATTTCAGATATGTACTTGTCATTTTTATAAATTAAAAATAACACCATCAGAAGCACTGTAAGATCAGTTTCATGAACTATCTGGAATTTTAATCCTACTCAAAATACTGCTGAATTGTTTATGGATTTCTTTGGCTGATTTTCAAATGAAGATTTATTTGTTATTAATAGAGTAAACACATGCCCCCTTCATACACTAATACTAAATAAAATATTCTATGCTTCATGATCACATTTTCTCCAACAGGGTAAATGACCACCTGAATGACATGACGTCAACAGTCACAAGGACGCCCATGCCCTAGACTGTAATGATTGTCCATCTGATACACGGAATTTCACTATAAGGCTTTATCGTGTTCGTTCTTATAAAAATGCAACTATCCTTTGGAAGACTAACCCTATAATTTGCTCTCATCGTGCTTTAAAAAAGGATTTGTGGGGACTTTTTATAAAGGCCAGAGAAGTACGTAAGGGCAGGGGATGTACAGGAACACTTCTGAGTGACAAGAAAATAGACTAGGACTGCAGAAGTATTCAAGGCAATCTGCCTGTTTCATAGCTCTTCCTGAAGGATGCATGCTACATAACCTATTTACAAATGTCATTAAGACCAACTTATCACTGATACTTTAAAAGTACCAACTAACAATGAAATGTAGAAAACATAGAGTATTTGTATATTTATGGAAGGAGCTAAGAAACGTAATTTTCACTAAGCTCATATAATGTATTACAAAAAGCATCAAGACATCAAATGACAGACCAACTTAATAAATACAGTTTCCAATTCTGTGTTTCTCAGCAGCTGGCTATAGCAGCATATATATAAGTGTAAGATAGAAAGTTAGATAGATGGATCTATAGGTCTTTATGTAGATGGATGGATAGATGTATCAAAAGACATATACTTGTAAAAATATATATTTTTATATTTGAATATTTTTCCATTATATCTTTGACTGCCATTGTATTATAATTAATGCGGAGGTCTATAGAGGCCAGTCCCTGGAGAAAGGCTAAAATGACTGATGTGCTTTATTAAAAAAAAATGATTTTCTCACCACCACCACCAAACCTCTCAAGCTAGGCCTACGTTGATGGAAAAAAATCTGTATTTTATTGAGTTTCCTCTCTCCTATCCATAGGTGCCTCAGATGCCCAGCAGGACTAAAGAATGCCTTGGGTGGTGAACATCGGCCTGCCAGTTTAGAGGCAGTTGTTTAAGCTAAACCCCAGATGGAAGCATTCTTTCTCTCTCTATACATATGAAATTTAGAATGAGGAGCAGCAGACACTGGAGCAATTATAGTGATGTTAACATTGGGAGCTACAGGGTAGCCTCTTTAGACACACAGAGAAAAGCAAGGAAAGCGGGGATGTAGAGATGAATGAAACTGACTTGCATAGAAAAGTCAAGAAGCCAAAGTGTTGCCATACAGAGAGTCTCTCTCCCTTGCTTCCTTATGGTTTTCTAATCTCTCATAAGGCTTGACTCCCTTCCTGTCCTTGGGGTCTGTAAGATATCCCTGTTTCTTTTTAATACATTGCTCCTTTTTGTTCCAAACTGTCTGCGATTGGTTCCTGTTTACATGCATCCAAAACACTCTTGATTGATGCAAGAAAGGACAGAATACCTTAGTTGACATGTGGATATTGGCTCCCTTATCCAGAAGCAAGGTAACCATATCTGTGTGCCCCTCCTGCGAGGCCAGATGGAGTGGAGTTACTCCTTGCTTTGTCACAATGTTTGTCTCTGCTCCATAGTTCAGGAGTGTGGAAGCTATCTGCATTTGATTCTTCTTGGCAGCAATATGTAACGGAGTATAGCCATTCTAAAAAGAACAAAAATAAAACACATGCATATAGAGTAAGATTAACAATTGCTCTAATACGTATCTCTAAAGGAAATAAAAATCTCTAATCAATAGAAGAGTTAAAAGTGAGTTTACAGTTAATCCAAACTCTTACTCATCACGTTTCCATTCAACAATAACCGAATCTCTACAATAAAAGTCACAAGGCACCCCATTCTACTGTAAGACAGATATAGACATCAAAGCTCCAGAACTAAAAATTCTCTCCTTATAATATTGCTTCTCTCCTGAAAAGCAACATAGGATAAGCCAGGTTCCTCTTCTACATGACCATCCTTTAAATACTGGGGATGATTTTCATATCCACCTTTAGTTTTCTGTTTTCCAGGTTAATTTTCTCCATTCCTTCAACCATTCCTGATGGAAGTGCCATTTCTAGATCTCTCCCTATAAGGATGACCTGTTCTGAGCTGATTCTAGTTTGTCAATATTGCTCTTGAATTGTGTGTGCTATCTGGAACCAAGGCTACACTTCACATATGGTTATAACATAAAGAATCAAATGGAATTATTTCTATTATCTTACTATAATACTCCAACTAATATGCTTCTGTTTGGATTGTACTTTAAACTGGTTCAACAAATATTACTGAGTGCCTAGAATATGCCGAGCAGTGTGCTAGGTGTGGGAATACAATGGTGAACATGACATGATCCCTGTCTTTAATGGGTTGCATTCTAATTTAAAATATATTCAACAACAAAATTAGCTTATATGAATCTTGTGGTCCATTCAAATCCTAGATCTCCCCTTCTTTATAACCTGCTGCTTTGAAAGTACAAATATGAGGCTACTTATTTCGGGCGGGAGTTTGTGGAGAGGGACAGGAAAACTCATACTCTGCTTACAAGAACAAAACTCTATACCCCATGTTTAGTTAAAAGAAAAAAATGTGGAACAACTGTAAGTCTGCAACATATATTGTTTTATTTCCTTTTCTTTATCAAATCCGGTAGAATTTTCCATTCAAAATGTGTGATAGAAATTAAAAACAGTGGCTTTTCCCTTCAGTGACATGCTGAAGGGAAAGAGAGCATAATGACCAAGTGCTTCTTGTGAGATTACCATGAGATGTTTTATTTATTTATTTGTTGAGACAAGGTATGGCTCCATCACCAAGACTGGAGCGCAGTGGTGCCATCTCAGTCACTGCAACCTCCACCTCCTGGGCTCAAGTGATCCTCCCACCTCAGCATCCTAAGTACCGAGGACTCCAGGCACACACCACCATGACTGGCTAATTTTTTTGTATTTTTGGTAGAGATGGGGTTTCACCATGTTGCCCAGGCTGGTCTCAAACTCATGAGCTCAAGCGATCTGCCCACCTTGGCCCCCTAAAGTGCTGGGATTACAGGTTTGAGCCTGTAATCAAACTTGAGAGGTATTTTTAGGTCATGCTATTTCCTTAAAGCTAACTGCAAAGTGTACCAAAAAATAAAAAAGTGTTTTGAGAATTTAAATGTCTTTATGAGCTATCATCAAATCTTGATCCTCACACAACCCTACATTATCTACTCTGTCCCCATTTCTCCAAGCAAGAATAAGTATCTTTCATTTTTGACAAACAATGTTTCTCCTGAAGCAACTGAAGGAAATTCAGCTTGGAAGCCTTTTCAGGGTCTGATCAGAGGTCCCAGATGCTTCAAAATACTGTATTTGTGTCCATAGACTCTATTGAAAAAAAGGACACACAGATTTTTGTGGACCAAATAAGTTTAGTCAACTTCTTTTTGCTACAATGTGTTTCTTTAGTCTTAGTTACCCCACTGCCTACAGCATGGGCTCTACTAAGGTTAGGTACAGGGATATTTTAGCAAAACAACATAAGCGATCATCAAAGAAGGTGTCAATTCTGGCAATGGAGGAGGTTTGCCTGGTAGATACTCAACCTACAAGATCTGAAAAGCCCTCTTACTCCACAAAGAGGAAACATTTTTGGACTCAAATAATTGCAGCACTCCCAATAAAGACTAAGAGAAGGTTCTGGACTCTGGTGGAAAGAAGCAAAGTTCTCGTGGCCAAAGGACCGTGTGTATTAAGGAGAGGAGACATTATAATGAGCAGAAAGAGAGTCTAAAGTGGAGACTACAGTGGGGATCTTACCATCTGGAGCCCTCTAGGAGTGGCCCCAAAGATGAAGGGCTCATGTTCATTGACAGGCTGGGGCAGATAAGTGAAAGACACTAGAGAGGCATTCCCAGAATACCCATCCTACTGTGGACTCTGGAGTAGACAAATGCTTTATGTCATCTTCTGAACTCGGTACGTGCATGCCTAAGATTAAGGACCATACAAGGTAGAGGCTAGAAATCAAGGCTATGTTTATCTCCTTAGGAAAACTATACACATTATTTTATAATCTAGGTCTTCTCTTACAAGTAGATTGAGAGTCCCTTGTGGAAAGAGAACACACGTTTTACAATTTTACCTCCCATTGAGTACCTATAATCCTTTCTTTGCACATTGTAAGAGTTCAACGAAAGTACTCATGAGTACTAATGAAGTCTTTTGTATCTATGTTGAGAATGGTCAGCCTGGAAAGCTAATGAAAAAAAAAATGCTGGTATGTTAAGTGAGCAGGTATATTTTTATTCCATAGTTGCTCAATCTTCATTCTTTCATCCAAATTTATTGGGAACTCACATATGTTATTAAACACCTCATAGATATGCAAATGAATATGATATGAACACTCCTCTAGTAGCTTATAATCTAGTGTAAAGAAAGACATAAAATATGTGCTGAATTGATGAGGTTGTAGAAAAAAGAGGAGTAAGAACAGTGTGGATAATTATGAACATTTGGCACCCTCTTTTGACAGTTCAAGTACTTTATTATAAACTGTTTATTGGCATCAAAAAGATATAAATATATGTAGATGTATATGTATGTATGTGTACAAAGTTATATATTTATGATATATATAATATATTTATATATAAAATATATATTATACAGAACATATTTTATGTATATATCCTATTTTTTATTTATAATATGTATAAAATTTAAATAGGCATATGAGTATATATGTATATATTTGTATAACAGAAGTGGAATAAATCTCCCTCTATTGCTTTGGGGCACAAAGGACCTAGTGGTTAAGAGCACCGGCTCTAAAGTCAGTCTGCCTGAGGTCAAACACAGGTACAAGCTCTAACACTTATTATTCATATGACTTTGGAAAATTAACCTACTTAAATCTCACCTTCTCATCTGCAAAACGGAGATCATTAGAATACCAGTCTCATGGGGTTATTATGAGATATTGCCTGTAAAGTGCTCGGCATAGTGTTTGGCAAATAAATGGTGGCAGTTTTTTTATTATATTGTCTAATATAGCATAAATATTTTCCCATTACAATCAATATTTTTTAAATAAACCCTGATGTGTTCTCAAAATAGCTGTGCTTAATTAATGAACGAAAGACGCAATGAGGACTTTATGCATTATACGACATTCATATATATTTTCAGTGTAATAAGGGGCCAACTAGAATGGTGGGAAATGCCCTGTCCGTAAGTACAAGTCTTAGTTGGAGCTGTTTCGGAATTTGGTGCTAGATATACACCAAAAAGGCATCCTCCCACCACCTCTGAATCTAGGGACTTAGAGGGATCCATGCTACAGTTAACACAGGTAAAACATTAAAAAAAAAGACAAAGAAACAAATAGAAGTTTGAAGTCGGAAAGAATGAGAGTATAAAAGGACATTTTCATCATAGCATTTGGTTTATAGGAGAGAAGAGAAAATATGTTAATGACTTTATTTCTCAGTTCTCAAAATTCAGACTTCATTCTCTAACACACAGAATGTTAGCAATAAGATTCATCTCTACTGGTTTATAGGCACATCCCCTTAATATTTGCTGACTCTTAAAAAATCTTAAAAAAGATTTTCAAGACGCAACTGGCAGAAATACAAGGGAAAAAAAAGGGTGTCAATACCAAAAGCTACTATCGCTAGGACTAGTCGCAGTTATACTATACCATGTGTTTAAAAGACAATTCTCATGTGTTTTCAGGCGATAGTTACACCCTATGCCTGTAAATCCTTTTCTGTGGTCCTCACCTTGGCAGTGGCATGAGGGGAAGCACCCTTCTCCAGTAACAGCAGCGCCACCTTCTGGTTGTCATAATGAGCAGCAACATGGAGCGGGGTAAGGCCGTTCTGTAAAGGGTGTGTTTAAGTTTCAGCATTAATAAATTAGGGTTAGCTGCCCTGAAGCTACCAGGATGCCTGGAAACTGATATTGATTAAATTCATGTTAATGAATTAATATAGTCAATAGAAAAAAGAACGAAAATAAACAAATCCCTAATAATTTTCATATTAAAAACATAACTAAAATTGAAAATGAGCATACCACCAGCAAAGGGGATCTTGAGGGTCACAATGTAAAAAGGTCTAAACTGCTATGTAAGAAATACTACATTAACATTGCAGGGATTCTTCTTAATATAGAGACTTTCTGGGGCTGTTGTGACAAGACTTTGAGGCACAGCTCAAAATGCTTTCTGAATCAGTGTGTATGTACCTGGACGGTCATGGAAGACATCGCCACCATGTCTATTTGGGATAGTTTCATCAGTTGCTCTCACATTCCTTTCAGAGAAGTGAGAAAAATGTCTTTACAGATCTCCTAATCTATCACCTTCACTGTTACATAATTATAACGTATAGAAAATCTTTACCTTCCCTGCAGAATCTGCGGCAGCACGGCGTTGCAAGAGAAGTTTTGCCACATCCAGGCTTCCATACTTGGCTGCTACATGCAGGGGAGTAAAACCCTTCTGAAAATGTGAGAAACAAAAGTAAAATCGTATTTATTGTTGTAACTCCTCAAAAAATCTTTTTATTTGTTAACATATTGAGCAAAGTATACTGATTCTTCATTTGGAAAAAATACTGGTAGCATTAAATCTGTTAGCCATGAACAAGGACAAAGAAAAAGAATACAATTTAACATACAAAAGTTTGGCTTGATAGACTGAATAAAAGAAATTTTATTTTAAGGGCTTGGAGACTGAAATCTGACTTTATAGGTTTGGGATTTTTAAAAGCCACTAGTGTCAGTAAACTGGCTCCAATTTGTGAATGGGGAAAAAAAGCCTTTTCTTGCCTCTAAAATTAATAGAATTGAAACAACAGCTGCCTTCTCTCCAACCCTCCTTCTCTTTCTTTCAATCCTTTTTATAACACCTGAATTCCAAATTCATTTAAATTTTAGGATATTTTGGCAGCCATAGTAAAAACAAGTATTCGTGAATTAGTTGACATATTTTCTGCAGAAATGGCAAGATAAATGGTCTATAGAACAAAAAACATGTACTATTAAAAAGCAACTCCCATCCTGACTTGTCCCCTTTCCCAAAAGACTCACACTGTCTAAAAGACCAATTGCTTTTGTAAAATACGTTCTACTTCTGGCATGATGTTGGGCTGATTAACACCAGACTTTTAAACACACTGAAGCTTTAGAGCTTTTTTTAGAGGGCTGCTCTCCTACACATGTTGATATGTGTACATTCAGTGTCTTCCGTGCCTAACCAATGGCCTTACTCTGTAATTAGCAGTGTGTTATAAATACAGATAAGTCTCTGGACTAAGATCTCGAGGATGGCACAGTTCCTACACCATGATGTCAAATCCATCCTCTTGGCCAGACAGTTTAACCACATGCTCTTCTGGCACTACAGTGGGAGTGGGGGAATTCTAACACCGATCAGGGCCTGTAAAACACATAGCAAATATGCCTGGGTTAGGTGCTCTAAGCCATGGCTTATCCTGGAACCATTTAAGCCCCCATCATAAACACAGAATATCCCCCAAGAAGCAATATTGCCCTTTCGGTGTCTCCAGACAAATTATTTTTAAATGAGATGACGTTTTTCTTTTTGCTTCTTTTTTGAACATTTGGTATTAATAAATCCTTGGAAGAGAGCGAATCTTCTGGTTTTTTCCAAGTGTGGGACAAACGTAGGAAGTATTTATTCCTTCTTGCATTGTCCATATAAACCAGCATTTGTGGTTAGAGCTCTCCTCCCTCCACTCAATGCACACAATGATTAGGGTGATACTCAGGATGAAACAGAGTTCTTTGAGGCTAACTGCATCATGAGGAAGAAAACATAAACTCCTTATCTTTAAAGTCTTGCTAGAATAGTGATCCAACTCTTATAAGTTTGGAAATGATTATTAGACAAAAATACATAAAATCTACTGTAGAATAACAAAACCAAAGTTAGAAGGCATCTCTTGAGTCACACATCTGCCTTCTTCCTTTATGTTAATCTCACCAAGATTTCATTTACCCTCTTAAATGTCTTTAATAATGATGAATCAACCACTGTTCAGCCCTAGTCAGCTGAACTCTTAAAATGCTGTTTGGCCGGGTGCAGTGGCTCACTCCTGTAATCCCAGCACTTTAGGAGGCCGAGGTGGGTGGGTCACGAGGTCAGGAGATCGAGTCCATCCTGGCTAACACAGTGAAACCCCGTCTCTACTAAAAATACAAAAATTTAGCTGGGTGTGGTGGAGGGCACCTGTAGTCCCAGCTACTCGGGAGGCTGAGGCAGAAGAATCGCTTGAACCCGGGAGGCAGAGGTTGCAGTGAGCCAAGATCGCACCACTGTACTCCAGCCTGGGCGACAGAGCGAGACTCCGTCTCAAAAAAAAAAAAAAAAAAAAAACACTGTTTAACATTTTATTCTATTTTATCGCCCTAATTTACCATGGATATAGTTATATTTTTTAAATCCTAAATATCTTTGACAGACAAAAGACTACGTTTTATTATCTATTTCTGTATTTTATGTATCTTAATTTTGATGATTTACACCCTCCTCTGATAAGACAATCACCAAATCTCTCAGGTTATTACTACATTTGTTGCTTAGTTTTTTTTTTTTTTAAGAACTTTTAAAATCCTTCCAACTTTTCAGAGTTCAGAACTTCAATAATTGTCAATTTCTTATATCAAAATACCTTTTACAGCCATAGGCAACCAGGTAAGTCATAACAGGCAACCAGATAAGCCATAACAGCTAGTGGGCTGCTCCTACTTACAAGAGGACAGATGCCACATCACTATCTCAGTTTAAATTTGCAACTTTCCCTCTCCCTGGATGAAGTACTTATACCTACTGATTATGAGAGAATTGAAATTGTCCTTTCATTAATCTGAATCACTGTTACATTTGTGGGAATTATTTTGCCCCATGACAAATTCACTTGCACTGGCTCAATTAATTTTGCTCTAATTAGCTGAGTATATTCATGTTTTATTCTAAGTCATCTCCAAATTATGAATGTCAAACAGCATGTATAAAGCATGGGAAAAATTACTCTGCCCTGTCATGAAACTTGGAACATAAGTAAAATTCTTTGCTCGATGTCAATAACAACTAAAGAAGTGTGATTTTCCAGCTTCAGCTCTCTTTAAACACTGTAAATACCCAGGCAAAAGTGTAGTTGGTAAAGTTGGAAACTAATATGGGAATGAGAATGTCAAATAAGTGGTGGCTAATAGTAGGGTTGCGAAAATGTACAAGTAAATTGAGCTTCGATCTGGTACTATAACTCACAGCAAATATAGTACTGCCAATCTAATGCAGTACCCTCTTCCTCATTAGTATTACCAGTTCAATATATTTAGGGATTTCATTTATCTTTTTCTTAAGAATATATTATGGATTTTATAATAAAAGAGAAGAAAAAGTGAAAATCATCTTAGAGTACTAGATACCTGTCCTAGAAACATTGGCATTAATTAGAATGAAATTCAGCACTCTTTATTGAAGATATACGGAATCTCACAATTCTATTAAATCATTTAGACAATGAGTCTTAAATATGTAGAGAAGGAAGTAAGTCAAGGCCTGAGGAGATCTACCCTCTTGATTCTGTATGTGGTAGAGCAGAAAGGCCATGACTTAGGAATCCTCTTGGTCCATGTTCTCATGATGTCATTCTCCTTACCTTGGTAGCTAAGGAGTGGGCTGCTCCTGCTTCCAATAGGACTGATGCCACATCCACCTGGCCCTCCCGGGCAGAGATGTGCAGTGGTGTGTACCCATTTGTAGTGGCCGCATCTGGATGAGCCATATGTTGTAGAAGCAGCTGGACAATTTCTGTCTTACCCAGGCGGGAGGCAATATGTAAAGGTGTCTGTTCCTCCTACAACTCAAGCCAAGTAAAAAGTTAGTGCCGGGCAGACAGAACTTCACTGGTGATATGTTTCACTCACATATTTCATGATGTCTTCTTGGAATCTCTAGGAACCCCACCCAAAAGAAAATCATTACTGCTTTAACCATGGCATATTTTATATTTTGCTACAGCAGTGACCCTGTTGGTCACAAAGTCTCCCTTTGATTTTTAAAAAGCATATACTTCCATGAACTTGATCACTGCTTTCTGAAATATTTCTCAACTCATTAAGGCTTTAGGCCTCACTTATGTTTAAATATAAACTAACTGATGGTTTGGAATAAGAATAAAATCTAGTCCAAAAGTCCTAGGACCTATATTCTCATCCAAGAGTTTTCACTTAGAAACAGGATTTATTCTGGGAACTCTTTCAAAGAAAAAGAACCAGGGATGCTGGAAAATCTTTGATTTTACTCCATTCAGCAAGCCAAGGATACAAATGCTGGTCATTTTCTTCAAGGAGAAACAGTGCACAAAGAAGATATTGTAATCTGGTTTTAAAAGATGTTTCAGAAAATGCTGTAGATAGTTCTGGAACTTGCATCCAGAACTTAAAAAATGAAATGGGGCTCTGGCAAAAAGCAAATAGGGTGAACTATTTGCCAAGTACTTTCCATTAAAAACAGAGGATATAGCTGGGTCTAAGGGACAGGAAGGACATGTTCCAGGAGGCTCAGGAAAATCACCTGACTCTGAAGTGTAGTTGGAAATAATGTTTTCAGTGTTTAGAGAACCAGGCCAAACCATTCTCTTGTAAAAAGAAAATTGAGTGTAACTTTAGTGATAAAAAGAGGTATATCTTTACTATCTGCCCAAGGGCATGTCATAATAAAAGTGAGGAAGGGAAAACTGGGCTGACTTTCAGGGCTAAGAATGAATGGAGAAAAGTATATAGAGGAAGAAAGATCTATCCAAAAACATGCAGTATCTTAAAGTTATAAGAAAAAAGAAGAGGAGCTATAGGAAGAGATAAAATAGCACTGCATGAATTCCAAGGTAGTAAGAAGTAAATAAATAACAGTAATATGATTATTTTAGACTAGAATTGAAATTTTGTGAACATTTGCAATTGAAAACCTTTCTTCATGTACAATGCATATGTGACCCATCTTTCTAACAGAGTTAAAAGGAAAGCATAAAATGTATTATTAGACCATTTTCCAGGTCAATATTAAGAAAAATTAAACAAGTTCTCAAAGATTGTCCAAGGTTACTCAGCTATTAAAACAGAACTTGAATTCAGGGCATTGGATTCTAAAGACATTTCTCTGCCTATACATTCTTTGGAAACAGATACTACAATAAGATGGCCACTAACAGACCTGTCGGAACAAAGTGACTCTCAGTAGGAAAGGAGACTGACAACACATTAGAAGATAAAATTTCTCTGAAATACAGAGGAAAAAAATAGAGGAATTGGGAGAATAAACATTTTTTATTTATAAATAAAATGAACATATTTTTATTTATAAAAATAAATGGTTAGCAAAACAAACAACAATTTAAAAACCAAGGAACTTGAGAATAGCTATGATGAACATTTGTTGTTTCTGGGGTTCCCTTCTCAGATCTCTGTCCTGCAAAATTTGATAAAGGTGGGTGGGTATTGCAAGTGACACACTCTAAAATAGATTTTCCATGAGTAAGAGGGATAGTTGGAGCAATGATGACTCTTTAATCCATAGCTGAGAAGTGGCAATCATTGACTAGAGGTAGCTACATAATTGGTTAGTTATTAACTATTGATCCTTGGTTCTTAGACTGTATAGCATTAATGTTCTTCTTTAAAAAAAAAAGTTAAAAAATAGGATGTCTTGCCTACTTTTTTCCATTTTTGCTAAAGCTTTACCTGAAAGTGGAAAAGGAAATAACATGCAAATTTTGCAAAGAAAATCTTTCAACCTGTAACCAGGGATATAAGACTTTTTGAGGTTTGGCCAATTATTTCCCTGCTGAATTGCAAAAGTTGAATTTACTGCTTAAGGGTAATGTTAATTTAAACCAGGGAAAAGAATTGGGGAAGTGCAGAAGAAAAGATTCATGGGAAAAGGTAAAGAAACGAGGGAAGCCTGATCACATAGACCTCTTCCAAAAATGAGAGGCAACAATTCCCTCATCATAAAGCATCACTGGCTGACACAGCCTGGACCGGAAGTAGGTGAGCTCTGCTTTGCCACTGCAGTCTACCATTTTACTCTGGAGACTTGCTGAGCCCCAGCTCCTTTTACAAAGAGAAAAATAACACTGGCTGGGATAAAGTTCAAAGATTTGATAAAATTTCTATTACTAGTTACTAGCTAACAGGGTTCCCAGGAGCCACATCTCCTAGTATCTAACTAAAGTTCTAAATGAGCTAAGTTTCAAGTGAGTTTAAGCCTAGGACCCCTGGGATTGCTCGATCCCTAAAGCAAATGCCAAGCCCTGTAATTGTGCCAACAGAACCAGCTCCTAAAGCAAGAGAGCTCCCAGATGGTCAGGCTCTGGTGGCCTTCTCAGTAATGTCCACTGAGGACACTGGACAAGGAAGGACCTTCCTGCGAGCAGGACCTGGGTGCAAACACATTGGCTGACAGAGGAACTGAGGCCACTGTGGTCCCCTGCTCTCCAGTCTGTCCAGCAAAATGTGTCTTATGCTCTGGACTGGTGAATAGAGTGTTCTGCGTGAACTTTAAAAATTACAGATGTTATTATGAGTATATGGTTTTTCTTTTGTTATATATTGTGAATAGGCAAAACATATGACTTAGACCCATGAGATATTATTTCTAAACCTGATTGAGAAGATTGTGAACTACGCAGCAATCTCAACCTTGGAGCTCAATGTAGTAGCTTGGCACAATTTTTTACTATCTCTTCTTCGGGAGAGGGTGAATTCTCGAGCAATGTTATTAGGTTTAGAGAGGAAGTTTCCAAAAGTGTGTGTGTGTGTGTGTGTGTGTCTGTGCGTGCATGTGCACGCATGCGTGCGGTGAGAAATCAAGAGGTAAAATAGCAGATATGTGCTCATTTTTCTGCCCAATACCCCCTGCACCCTTCTTCTGGGACAGCCATCCCTCATTTGGGGGAAACGGACATCCCATATTCCATGTGGTTCTAGAAGGGCTGCTGGTCTTCTTATCCCACCTCATAAATGGGCCGCATGAATGCGCATGAGCCCAAGCTTGATCTTTTATCCTGATCATAGTCATAAGCTCAGGGAAAGAATGTGACTAATTAGAAACCAGTGGTTTGTTCGGATGGGAGGAAGAGGGGCTCTCTTTACATTTGAAGTGGGAGATAATGACGTTAGCAGAAAGAGTTAGGAGAAAGATGCGGAATCAGAGGAGAAATCTTTTTCTTATCTTAACTCTGTCACCACAGGTTAATCAGCACAATCTTGAATTTCAGGACGCTAAGCCACCCTACAACACAGGAATCCTCTGGGTATCAAATAAGACACTTTGTGTTTAAATGCTTGATGAATTCTAAAGCACTGTTCAAATGTTAACTAAATCAGAGGCCCAGGAACACATTAAAAGGATTAAATGACAATAAAACACACATGGTGAAAGTACGCTTTAAAATAGGACTTATGAATAGGAAAACCCTAACTTCTTGCTGCTTGAAACATAATCCCAAAATCAGCAGCCCTGACATCACCTGAGAGTTTGTTAAATATGCAGAACTGACTTACAATATGCATTCTAGCAGGGTGCCCAGGTAATTTGTATGCATATTGACCTTTAGGGAGCACTGCTTCACAAGGCTACAGTATTTTTGTTTGTTCACAATAGAAAATGCTATAGGGAAGGGATTTCAGTTGTAGCTTAGAATGGGAGGTAGAGCTGAAAAGAAAAAAAATAAACAAAAGATAACATCTGAAATTTGATATTTAAATTAGAAGGAATAAGGAATTAAGAGGTAGCTATATATGTATTAATGATACTAAATGTAGTTGCAAAAGAGAAGTAAAAAAGTAGAATTGATGAAATCTTTGTGTAAAATTAACTAATTAATTAATATTTTAAAGGAAAGACTCTGTTGCCAGTGGTGCTTTTAAGGAAGAGGCTTCAGAGGGTATCCAAAAAGATAAAAGGTTGTAATAATGGGTTATATCAATACAGAAAAATTTGGCAGAGACACATGAAAATGAATAAATTTCCATTAAAAGTAGAAATTTTAATTTGAATAATAAACATTAAGGGGTTTTACTTTAAGACAGAAATGGGAAACTCTTTCATTATTAAATACGAATTACAAAAAATTTACAGGAACATCAACACAATTTCCAGTAAAGTATACGATAGTCAGAGTGCACTGGTTGACCATAGAAAATATTTTTCAAATAGCTGAATGCCAGGTAACCTTAAAAGGAAACCAGAAAAATGTTATGGCAGGGGAAGCTCATGGTTGAATAAAGCTTTAAATAGATAAGAATATAATAGATCAATGATGATTACCAAAGAACATAAATTACACTATGTGGACAATGCACAGAAAGGCAGATGAAAACCAAGACAACAAGAGTAATGTTAAGGCTACCCGTGTATCACTGGATTCTGCATGAAGATCTGTGGAACCTGTTACAAGAAAATGTCTATTAAATTCATTGAATCAAAGAATGTTAAGAAAGTCTAGAAAGGAGTTTTGAGTTTCTGAGTCCAACCCTCATATTTTACTGATAAAGACTTGGAAGTGGCCGGAGGCTGGCAAGATGGCTGAATAGGAACAGCTCCCATCTGCAGATCCCAGCGAGATCAACACAGATGGCAGGTGATTTATGCATTTCCAACTGAGGTATCTGGCTCATCTCACTGGGATTGGTTAGACAGTGGGTGCAGCCCATGGAGGGCAAGCCAAAGCAGGGTGGGGCTTCACTTCACCTGGAAAGCACAAGGGGTCAGGGAACTCCCTCCCCTAGGCAAGGGAAGCCGTGAGGGACCGTGCCATGAGGAATGGTGCACTCTGGCCCAGATACTACGCATTTCCCATGGTCTTTGCAACCTGCAGACCAGGAGGTTCCCTCGGGTGCCTACATCACCAGGGCCCTGGGTTTCAAGCACAAAACTGGGATGCCATTTGGGCAGACATTGAGCTAGCTACAGGAGTTTTTTTTCATACCACCGTGGCGCCTGGAACGCCAGTGAGACAGAACGGTTCACTCCCCTGGAAAGGGGGCTGAAGCCAGGAAGCCAAGTGGTCTAGCTCAGTGGATCCCACCCCAGGGGAGCCAAGCAAGCTAAGATCCACTGGCTTGAAATTCTCGCTGCCAGCACAGCAGTCTGAAGTTAATCTGGGAGGCTCCAGCGTGGTAGGGGGAGGGGCGTCCGCCATTACAGAGGCTTGAGTATCACCACTGACCCCACAGAAATTCAAACTACCATCAGAGAATACGATAAATGCCTCTACACCAATAAACTAGAAAATCTAGAAGAAATGGATAAATTCCTGGACACATACACCCTCCCAAGACTAAACCAGGCAGAAGTCGAATCCCTGAATAGACCAATAACAAGTTCTAAAATTGAGGCAGTAATTAGCCTACCAACCAAAAAAAGCCCAGGACCAGACGGATTCACAGCTGAATTCTACCAAAGGTACAAAGAGGAGCTGGTACCATTCCTTCTGAAACTGTTCCAAACAACAGAAAAAGAGAGACTCCTCCATAACTCATTTTATGAGGCCAGAATCATCCTGATACCAAAACCTGGCAGAGACACAACAAAAAAAGAAAATTTCAGGACAATATCCCTGATGAACATCAATGCGAAAATCCTCAGTAAAATACTGGCAAACTGAATCCAGCAGCACATCAAAAAGCTTATCCACCACGATCAAGTCAGCTTCATCCCTGGGATGCAGGACTGGTTCAACATATGCAAATCAATAAATGTAACCCATCACATAAACAGAACCAATGACAAAAACTACACGATAATCTCAATAGATGTAGAAAAAACTGATAAAATTCAACACCCCTTCATGCTAAAAACTCTCAATAAACTAGGTATTGATGGAACATATCTCAAAATAGTAAGAGCCATTTATGACAAACCCACAGCCAATATCATACTGAATGGGCAAAAGCTGAAAGTATTCCCTTTGAAAAGCTGCACAAGACAAGAATGCCCTCTCTCACCACTCCTATTCAACATAGTATTGGAAGTTCTAGCCAGGGCAATCAGGCAAGGGGAGGAAATAAAGGGTATTCAAATAGGAAGAGAGGAAGTCAAATTGTCTCTGTTTGCAAATGACTTGATTGTATATTTTGAAAACCCCATCATCTCAGCCCAAAATCTCCTAAAGCTGATAAGCAACTTCAGCAAAGTCTCAGGATACAACATCCAGGTGCAAAAATTACAAGCATTCCTGTACACCAATAATAGACAAACAGAGAGGCAAATTATGAGTAAATTCCCATTCACAATTGCTACAAAGAGAATAAAATACCTAGGAATACAACTTACAAGGGATGTGAAGGACCTCTTCAAGGATAACTACAGACCACTGCTCAAGGAAATAAGAGAAGAAACAAATAAATAGAAAAACATTCCATGCTCATGGATAAGAAGAATTAATATTGTGAAAATAGCCATACTGCCCAAAGAAATTTATAGATTCAATGCTATCCCCATCAAGCTACCGTTGATTTTCTTCACAGAATTAGAAAAAACTACTTTAAACTTCATATGGAACCAAAAAAGAGCCCATATGGCCAAGACAATCCTAAGCAAAAAGAATAAAGCTGGAGGCATCACACTACCTGACTTCGAACTATACTACAAGTCTACAGTAACCAAAACAGCATGGTACTGGTACCAAAACAGATATATAGACCAATGGAACAGAACAGAGGCCTCAGAAAAAATGCCACACATCTACAACCATCTGATCTTTGACAAATCTGACAGAAACAAGCAATGGGAAAAGGATTCCCTATTTAATAAATGGTGTTGGGAAAACTGGCTAGCCATATGCAGAAAACTAAAACTGGACCCCTCTCTTACGTCTTATACAAAAATTAACTCAAGATGGATTAAAGACTTAAATGTAAGACCTAAAGCCATAAAAATCCTAGAAGAAAACTAGGCAATACCATTCAGGACATAGGCATGGGCAAAGACTTCATGACTAAAACACCAAAAGCCATGGCAACAAAAACCAAAATTGACAAATGGGATCTAATTAAACTAAAGAGCTTCTGTACAGCAAAAGAAACTATCATCAGAGTGAACAAGCAACCCAAAGAATGGGAGAAAAATTTTACAATCTATCCATCTGACAAAGGGCTAATATCCAGAATCGACAAGGAACTTAAACAAATTTACGAGAAAAAACATACAACCCCATTGAAAAGTCGGCGAAGGATATGAACAGACACTTTTCAAAAGAAGATATTTATGTGGCTAACAAAATATGAGAAAAAGCTCATCATCACTGGTCACTAGAGAAATGCAAATCAAAACCACAATGAGATATGATCTCATGCCAGTTAGAATGGTGATCATTTAAAAGTCATGAAACAACAGATGCTGGAGAGGATATGAATGCTTTTTTTTTTTGAGACAGAGTTTCACTCTTGTTGCCCAGGCTGGAGTGCAATGGCACGATCTCAGCTCACCGCAACCTCCGCCTCCCGGGTTCAAGAGATTCTCCTGCCTCAGCCACCTGAGCAGCTGGGATTATAGGCATGTGCCACCATAGCAGTCTAATTTTGTATTTTCAGTAGAGACAGGGTTTCTCCATGTTGGTCAGGCTGGTCTCAAACTCCCAACCTCAGGTGATCTGCTCACCTCAGCCTTCCAAAGTGCTGGGATTACAGAGGTGAGCCACCATGCCTGGCAGAGATAGGAACACTTTTACACTGTTAGTGGGAGTGTAAATTAGTTCAACCATTGTGGAAGACAATGTGTCAATTACTCATGGATCTAGAACCAGAAATACCATTTGACCCAGCAATCCCATTACTGGGTATATACCCAAAGGATTATAAGCCATTCTACTATAAAGACACATGCACACATATGTTTATTGCAGCACTATTCACAATAGCAAAGACTTGGAAGCAACCCAAATGCCCACCAATGATAGAATGGATAAAGAAAATGTGGCACATATACACCATGGAATACTATGCAGCCTTAAAAAAGAATGAGTTCATGTCCTTTGCAGGACATGGATGAAGCTGGAAGCCATCATTCTCAGCAAACTAACACAGAAACAGAAAACCAAACACTGCATGTTCTCACTCATAAGTGGGAGTTGAACAATGAGAACACATGGACACAGGGAGGGGAACATCACACACTGGAGACTGTCGGGGGTAGGGGGCTAGGGGAGAAATAGCATTAGGAGAAATACATAATGTAGATGACGGGTTGATGGGTACAGCAAACCACCATGGCACATATATACCTATGTAACAAACCTGCACATTCTGCACATATATCCCAGAACTTAAAGTATAATAATAATTTAAAGAAAGACTTGAAAGTGAAGTGACCTGCCTGAAATCACTTACAATTTATATGACCATAGCCAGATGCTTTCATTCCAAGATAACACTGTATTATAATGGTACAACTCAAACTGAAATGAGCTCTAACTTAGGTATATCAAATATTGAAGAAGGAGGGAAATTATTTAACATGAGAATCTCAATGATGTCAGTGCAAAAGTTAACCAAACCACATGGAAAAGGAAATAGAAGGTACAGTATATTGATAGTGTATTCAGTGCATTCTGGTGTATTCAATGTAAAGGAAGGTGAGAAAATAAATTGGAAAGTAAGATTTAAAAACAGAAAAAGAAGGAAAAAGAAACTTGTGAAGGAATTACAAGCTATTAGAAACAGGACAAGTCTGATCAAGCAATCTTCAGTGCCCAAATTCTATTTTGGAACTGTGGAAATACAGAATGTCTAAATTTGTAAAATCAGAGTAAGAAGAAAAGTAAATATCATAAAAAGGAGGGAAGGCAAACAGATGAAGGAAAAACACTAAAACTTGGAGAATAACTTGATTTTATGTAACTAGTGAGGGATGACTGTGGAAATGTGATTGGTTTAAGTGGTAAGAAATAAATTTTAATATGTATAGCATCTAAATACTTTAGGTTAAATTTTAAAATTCATGAAAATAAAGAGATATGAGAAAGTGCTTTCCGAGGTTAAAACAGTATTAAAATATCAGTCGATGTATTTCTTAGATGATAAGTTTTACATTTTTTCAAATGTTAATGTTTCTGAAATTTGGGTGCATTTTTCGTCGTGTGTAATTGCTTAAATAATGTTTCTTTTTTTTTTCTGGAAAACTGCTATTGAATTGATCCTTTCACTTACAGTCCCTGGTATTTCCAAATCAAGGAACTGAAGGGCAACACCCTCTCTTAAGGATGAAACTCATGCGCTGCGATAGAAGAGAACCTCAGGGCACCAGTACCTACCCTGGCTCTGGCATCAACAAGGGCACCATTTCTCAGGAGGCATCGGACCACTTCCACCTGCCCGGCTCGGGCTGCCATGTGTAGTGCCGTCTCACCACGCTGCCAGGGAACAAAGATCGTCAAATCATAAATTAACCCACCGCTCTGGATGGTAAAGAATAAAGTTGTCCCTTTTTGTGAAATTCAGCAATATATCCAAGGATTTAAGAAACCTATGAAAAGGCATAATTATTTAGTCTGGAAAATATAGATTTGTATCTTTTTTTTTTTTTTGAGACAAAGTTTCACTCTTGTTGCTCAGGCTGGAGTGCAATGGCAACATCTCGGCTCACCACAACCTCCACCTCCAGGGTTCAAGCGATTCTCTTGCCTCAGCCTCCCCAGTAGCTGGGACTACAGGTGCCTGCCACCACACCCAGCTGATTTTTGTATTTTTCTTCTCCATCTTTATAAGGATAAAACGAATGTTTATTTTATTTTTTCAAGTCCATGAAAAACTAGTAAATTTATCCGAACATCCAGGATACTCTTGAGTTGTTTCACTTCACAATCAGCAGCTTAAGCATCCCTTTAAATTGATTTTGGTGATGAAGTTTTCTTTTACCCTAAAAACCTAAAAATCTGTCATTGTCTCACTTAACTATGTGATCACAACTTGAATCTATTTCAGTGAGAAACTAGATGCTGAAGATCAACACGTTGCAAAAAATTAATACCACTTATACCATAAATAAATCATTTCAAGATTCAAAATTTCCTTCTGAAATAAAATATTATTTTGTATCTGATTTTTTTGTGTTATGAGACTAGACAAAAATGGATCAGACAAGAAATTTGATTTGCCC
The DNA here is from genome assembly GCF_000001405.40 of Homo sapiens. Lineage (NCBI taxonomy): Eukaryota > Metazoa > Chordata > Mammalia > Primates > Hominidae > Homo > Homo sapiens. The sequence continues at coordinate 113,264,150 of NC_000004.12, read as the reverse complement.
AGGAGGTCCTCTATTTAAGATTAATGAGCATATTTAATTATAGACAGTTATTTGAGAGAGCCACTGAAAGATGAATAAAGTGACTGTCAGCAGTGTCATCTGTTGAGGTAGGCCATGCATCATGCCTCAGGTATCTTTGTTCTACCCCAAAATATGACACATTTGTCAGGAAAGGGTGGCTTTAGGTGTAGCATGAAGAACAAGGGTTTGATTAAGAGAATTTTCTCATCAAGTAGCCGGTTATTACTCTACTGTCTCTAAGAGAGAGGTTTTTAAAAATCAGCATATTTTAAAACCATATATAGTTCTAAAGAAGGCAGGGTTTCATTCACTCAAGTAATTTTACAGTTAGAATAAGATATTGGAATAAAAATTATTACAGATTGATTTACCACAACTGTTCTAGAAGATAAGGATGATTTCAACCAAGTAAAGTAAACCATTCCAAATAAACTAAATTTGATTTTAAATTTGGTTGTGGTAATTGACAAACTGCAGAGAATAATTTCTTCTGATTCCTTGTACAACAAACCCTTAAATCTAGAAACTTTAAGGTGAACTTTAATTTGGCACATAGTTCACAGTTAATTTTTTCTCAGTATTTTGGAGACCCATTTCTTTTGAAGTTATGAGAAATTCATGTCAAATGATTTGATTGTGAAAGCACTAAATTGGATATCTACTCTAATTTTCTCTTCTTTGTTGATGACTCATTTATCCTCTAATGGGCTTATTTTCTGATAACAGATTTAGACTTTTGTAAAGTAAATGTATCTGGAGTATGTTGTTTTATAAAACGATGTATCATTGGAATGCTAATATTTATCTTCAGACTTTAGATGTATCACAAGATTTTTCCTCCCTGGACAGACAATCATGATTTCTAACTTGTTTTCCATATCATTTAAAACCTGTCTCTAAATAGATGAGGCTAAGATCTTCTTTTTTTTTTTTTTTTTTTTTCAGACAGAGTCTTGCTCTGTTTCCCAGGCTGGAGTGCAGTGGCATGATCTCGGCTCACTGCAGCCTCAGCCTCCCGGGTTCAATAGATTCTCCTGCCTCAGCCTCCCAAGTAGCTGGGATTATAGGTGCCCGCCACCATGCCCAGCTAATTTTTGTAATTTTAGTAGAGATGGGGTTTCATCATGTTGGTCAAGCTGGTCTTGAACTCCTGACCTAGTGATCCACCCGCCTCGGCCTCCCAAAGTGCTGGGATTACAGGTGTGAGCCACCGTGCCCGGCAAGGCTAAAATCTTCTAACTACAGTTGTCCCTCTGTATTGGTGAGGGATTGGTCCCAGGCCTCCTGTTTCCCCCACCAATACCAAAATACATGGATGCTCAAGTCCTTTATATAAAATGGTGTAGTATTTGCAAGTAACCTATGCACATAATCCTGTATAATTCAGCTCTATATTACTTATAATACCTAACACAATGTAAATGCTATATAGTTGTTATACTGTACTTTTTAAAATTTTTTGTTATTTTTATTGTAGTTTTTTATTTTTATTTTTTCAAATATTTTCAATCCAAGATTGATTAAATCCATGGATTTAGAACCCACTGATACAGAAGCTACTGATACAGAGGGCCGATGGTATTCAAACAAAACAAAACAAGACCAGTTGCAGTGGCTCAAGCCTGTAATCCCAGCACTTTGGGAGGCCAAGGCAGGAGTATTGCTTGAAGTCAAGCATTCAAGACCAGGGTGGGAGACATAGCAAGATCTCTTCTCTAAATAAATAAATAAATAAATTAGCCAGGCATAGTGGTGCATGCCTGTAGTTCCAGCTACTTGGGAGGCTGAGGCAGGAGGATAGCCTGTGCCTAGGAGGTTGAGGCTGCAGTGAGCCATAATCTTGCCCACTGTATTCCAGCTTAGGTGACAGGGCAAGGTCGTGTCTCAGAAAAACAAAAACAATACTCCTCAAATCTTTACGTTATTTCTAGGTCTGATAAAAGGCTAGCAATTTTACTAATTTTGGTAGAAATGATGATAAGAATAAATTTCTGTATAAGAAGTTAAAAGTCAAAGAGGTCCCAGGAATTCCTATGTAATGACAAATTTTCATGTTTATTATTTATTTATTTATGTAGAGACAAAGTTTCACTCTGTACCCCAGGCTGGAGTGCAGTGGTGCAATCTAGGCTCATTGCAACCTCCACCTCTTTGGTTCAAGTGATTCTCCTGCCTCAGCCTCCCAAGTAGCTGGGATTACAGGCATCCACCACCACGCTTGGCCTTCATGTTTATTTTTTAAGCCAAGCTTTATCAATAAGGGGCTTTCAAAATCTGAAATGTTTCCAATACTGGCCAATATTTCTAAAACCTTTATTTTATACTTAAGTTTTTTTTATGGGTTTTACACACTTGAAATTGATGAGTTAGATATAGAATCTAATTTAAAGCACTAAGGCTTAAATTCAAACAAAGGTTATGTATAAACACACACATGGTCTCTCCACTTTATAATAATGGTCTTGTTTAATTATTATCTAACACCTCTGGCATAATGGACTTCTACTGTAAGTTGCCCTTATTAGTCTTTTATGTTAATATTACCATTGTTTATATATAAGAATAAATAAGAAAATGAAAATCAGGATATATTGTTGTAATAAATAATTTCCATGTCTTGATTGTCAGGCACCCTATTTTATTTAATAGCCTTGTCTTTCTTATCTCAAGCTAATGAAATTTAAGGATTCGGGGAAATTTTTAAGCATAATATAATGTGTGAACTTTACCATTAGTCCACTGATTTCTTATGGGAAGGAAGATAAAACTTTGTAAGACCTTGCATTCTTTCTTGATAGTTGTTAAAATGCTTAGTTTTCTATTCCTATGGTTATTGATGAATACTTTGGATTATGGATGTGTTGTAATTGGCAGTTCGGCATTCTAAGTTTCAAAGCGTATTAATAAACCTTCTGGAAAAGGAGATTTTCAGTTAAAAAAAAAATGTCTATACGTGATTGAGTTACTGGTACACCTCACACTTGGAGTGAATTTTCAGGCAAAAACAAAACTAGCAAGAGAATGGGTATGCTCATGTCCAAAGCAGGTACTAAATTTCATGCCACTCTTCTCAGTTGTTAAAACTGACTCTGCTGACAGGGCTACATTGACTTCCACTTTGGGCGCATCAAGTTGAAAAGCATCGAAGCACAACAAACAGCATTGCATTCAAAAATGCAACATGATTTCAGGCAACACACAAAGGCTCCAAGGGTGGGGTGTTTTAGGGTCAGGAAGTGACCAACTCTGACACAGCAAGCAGGCAGTCAGCGTTCACACGGTTTCTTCATCAACTTGCAAAGAATTTTGGATCCAGTAGCTATATCCTCATGTTCTGAGAAAACACAACTTCACAGGCATCCCACTGCTAGAGAAAGTTAAATTCCTCTAAATGTAGGATTGCCAGATTTAGCAATTAAAAGTACAGGACAGCCAGTTAAATTTTAATTCCAGACAAACAACAAATAATTATTTTACTATGTCTTAACTATTGCATGGGTCATATATAAAAATTTATTTTTCATCTGAAATTTAAATTTAACTGAGAGTCCTATATTTTACCTGGCAACCCTATCAATAGGTATCTGCTTCCTGAAGGACCTACCTTACAAAACATAACTAGAAAACACGGAAATTATATTGGCATGTGCCCCTCAAGAATTTGTTTTGAGGGAGCTGGATGGAAAGATAATATAATGGACAAATGAACAGATAAAATGAAGAACTTTAAATGACCAACAGTTGGAAGCTGAAGTTTAATATAATGATTGTCAAATTTGAAAGTCTTCAACAACCTGAAAAATATGTCAAAATTGTTTGTTTCAATTAATATTTTATTTTTATTTGAAAATATACATGTACCCCATATAACTTTTTTAATAGAAGGGAGTATATTATAACTCCATAACCACCTGAAGATTTGGAATTGGTCAGTGAAGAAGCAAAGTAAGAGTGGCCACAAATTCCACAACCATTTTATATGGATTATTCTTTGAAGAGTTTGTAAAAGTCTCCACTAAAAGAGATTAATTCAGGGGATTGCAATCAAGCAACCCACAGAATATTCTTGTACATGTTATCATTATAATGTGATAACATATTGTAACAGTGTCACTATTGCTCCTCTGATCCTATAAGCATTGGAATGCAAATAAGAATAGGTGGAGATAAAAAAGGAAAAGGCGGGCAAGAACACAGCGGTTTTTTGTTTGTTTGCTTGTTTCTTTTGTTGGTTGCTGTTGTTGTTGTTTGTTTTTTGTTTTAATGTTACTGGCCTGTACGTAAATCTGTTCAGGTCTCAATTAAAAAAAAAAAAAAGAAAAAAAAAGGTAGTCATCTCAAAAAAAAAAGGGGGGGGATGATGATTACTTTTAAAGTTCTAAGAAGTGACTAGAAATTAAACTTATGTTGGCACATTGTGAAATTACTCTCATGTCTAATGGAGTAAATAAAGATTAGCATATAATATTATGACCTTAGGACCAATAAGCTATAATTAAGAAAACTTATAAATATAGACTTTAAATTCTTCAATGATTTTATGCTCCAATTACTGAATAACATGAAGAGAGAGTATTAAATAATTTTTAAACTCAATTGAATTAATTCTCACAATGGATTTTCCTAGCCATCAGAAACTTCACTGTGGAAATGGTGTGTGAAATACAGAAAAAAAGAAATATGAGAGAGAATACAAATAAAAAGTGAAACTGGACATTCTCTTTCACAGCTTAAATGGAATGAGATGCCAAAAATTAGCAACAAGTGCCAATCAATTGCTTTTGACAACATAGCTCATTTTAATAATAAGCTTATTTATTTTGAGAGAGTTATTTCTGGTGCACATGTGAATCTCAATACTCTACTAGACCTTCTTGAACTTCAAATACATGCCTGCACCTTGTGCAAAGAAGTTCTCTTGCTCAGGAGAACATTTGCATTCAATGATTTATCCTGATACAATGACCAAAGTTTAAAGGGGGAAAATCCAAGAAAATGAGAGATATACAAAGAAATTAGAAGTGAAAATCCTAATTTAGATTACATAGAAAAATTCTGAGACATCCAGTACTTGTTGATTGAATGAAAGTGGTCTGGAGACCAACATTCATTCCAGGATATGTGGTATAACTTTCAGCTAAGAGAAGCCTCCACTCTAGCAAATCAGATCAAATCAAAAGTAAAAATCAACGTAATGTTACAAAATGGGAAATCCATGTAATTGAAGAAGGAAGAGTTTGACACGAAGTAAAAGTCTCTGATATTGATCTATCTCTGGTTAATCTTTTGTTAAGGTTAATTATGGTAATGATTTGATGTTTTTGTGAAAATTGCCTGGAATACAATTCCCTCAAGCAACTAGGTTGAGCCCTAAAGATTCTATTCGAACCAATTATCCATTCACTTGCAGAGGAGCTTTTAAAATGTATTTTGTTTTAATAAATGCATTTAAGATGCATGTTCAATCCACCTACACCCAGAGTCTTAAGCTGTCTCACTTCATAGCTTCCATTTTACTTTATAACACCTCTTACCCTATCCAGGTTCTTTTCAGTGAAGTTCTGGTGATTATTTCAATAATGTGTTATTACAAGGGCCCTTCTCAAAGCTTGGTTGCTTACTTCGATGACATACACGCAAACACACATACACACACCCACAATCTCTGTTCCTCTCGCTCTTCCTCCCTGGGGTTATTCTGACCCAAGCCATACTCACAATGTTAGTGACATCTGGAGAGGCTCCGTTCTGCAGCAGAAGGAGGACAATGTTCAAGTGGCCCATGAAGGCAGCCACATGTATTGGTGTGAGGCCAGACTGCGAAACAAAGCAACAGCAGTTTTACTCCTCTGCACCGGTGGGGCTTTGGGGCTTCTTCAGATAAATAAAACTTGAGTGAAGAGGACAGAAGATGAGAAAAAGGAAAGGGAGGAAGGAGTAAGAGAAGGAATGCTTTGTGACTAGCTAAAACATTTTTCTACCTCTGTTATAGCTTGGATTGAAGCCCCATATTTCACCAGCAGTTCCATGACTTTGATGCGGTTTTTCTTGCAGGCAATGTGCAGTGGAGTAAAACCATTCTGTGCAAAAGACAATCAAGTTAGTTGAAAACATGCAGAAACAATTCTCACACAACTCCATGCTGGCACATTGCAGGCAATAATGTTACATCGTCACATAATGTTACCATTTCTTCAATCCCTGCAGGTGTTGGAATTTGGAAAGAAAAATGGTGATGTGTTCCTGTAGGCACTGAACTTCACTTATGTGTGGTGGGCCTGTACGTAATTCTGTTTGTGTGGTTACAGGGAAAACAAAAGTGAAGAAAAATACATGGTCCTTCTCTTTAAAGAAAGAAAAACAGAGAAGCAATTACATTTTAGAAGTTCTAAGATGTTTTAAGGTATATTGATTGTCCTGGTTATTAAATTACTTGAAGATGAACTGAAGATAAGCATATATTCTTCTGAAGGGCCATTTCTCAGAGCATAAGAATTATTCATCTACTTAAAAAATCTAAGAATATACTGCCTTTGTAAGAAATATTTCAACTTTGCTACGACTTTCTTTATAAAGGGCATATTTCTAGTCAGCAGAAATCATTATGTTGATCATTTTTACATACAGAAGCTATATTTTTATATCATTTTTATAACATATATGCCAATGAGATAAATTTTATTGTATAAAGAAATGACTGTTAAGTTCTCGAATATTTTCAAGAAATGTATGGAGAATTTCTGGGATAAATGCAAGGAGGTAGCTCTGGGGTAAAGAAATGTGGAGAAGAAGTCTGTCAGGTACTTTCTAACTTGGCGAACTAGGCTAATGCCCAGGAATTGGGGCAAATTAAGTAAAATATGTTAAATGGCCCGGTGCTTACTCATCGTGTATTATATATTTTTTTTATTTCAACAATGTTCCTTTGTTATGTCTATTCTGCCAGCTAACAATTTCGCATGTCCCAACATGGACCAATCATCAGTCAACGTTTTTACACACTAGCAGTTCTCAGGAAAGCATATGGTCTTACTTAAGCTGATGACTTCTTATTTTTCACAATAGAGTGATAAACATAATTAATTGGTTAGGTCATTTCCCCTGTTTATGAGCTATACAACATGCCAGATATAAATAGCCACATGCACATGCAGCACTTAAAATATTTGCAATTAACAGGCTGTGATATTTTATAAGCTTATTGACCACTATCCAATTAAAAATTAATGTTTTTGACTCCCTAGACAAAATGAATGTTTTCACATAATTACATATAATCTGGAAAATATATTCACTTCCCACGTAATTATCAATAAATTGATTCCAATGGAAAAATTCTTGTAAAAATCATATTTAATATTTGATGATTCTAATGATGGTCTCTCAGCTTAAATACTGATTGTTTGAAGACCAATTTTAACAGACACAAACCATGTAAACACATAGAAAAAAAGGATTTACTTTTAGTTTGGGAATTAGGACACAAGAGGCATAAATTAGTACATGTCTAATACTTCCAATGATTATTGTTAGAAAATAAGTGAAGCAAGGAAGACTTATTCAATATCAGAACTGGGGAGACATAAAGCTGCTCTAGGGACAGCCTCTTGCAGTTTTCTCTTGAGCAGTTCCTGAAATGGTGTATATAAAATGCTCCCTGAAGCCGTAACACACTAGGCATAACTTTTCTATTAGCCTATGGTTGAGTAATCAAGTCAACAATGAAAATTTTCAATTGAACTCTGCATAGACTTACATTTTATACCCCCTTACATAGTCAAATATATTCACCATTAATTTTTTTTCCAAAAAGAGATTAATAAATTCAACTTTTCATACTCGTGTTCTAACTTTATCTAGAGGTATCTAGAATTTATTTTGTAATTTCCTATTTTTCAACTTCTATTTTCCATTTAAAACTGCTTATCACTCCAAAGGTTTCATATCTATCTGTTTGCAACTCACTAGTTTCAGAAATGTTACATTGGTGTTCTCTTAAATACATCTTTGCTCACCAGCATTTGCTAACAAACTATGAATGTATGAAGTACACAGGCTGATTGTGAAGGATGACAAATTTAGCAGGATTAACTACATATCTGTAACCTTGCATTGCTGGTGTATGCATGTTGGTCAATGAATGTGGGTTTGTTTGTCTCAATCTGTATTCAGTTAATGTGGACTGGGCCAAGTTTACCAGGGCTCTGGCGTTCGGATTGGCTCTCTTGTCTAAAAGGAGTTTGGTTACACGGTAGTGGCCACAGTGCGCAGCAACGTGGAGGGCTGTCAGGTAGTCTAGGGTGACATCATCAACAGGTGCCTTGTGCTGTAACAGGTGCTTCACACATTCCACGTGGTCTCCCTGGGCAGCCATGTGTAGTGGAGACAGCCCATTCTGCACATTAAAAGAAAACAAAATAATGTCCTTTTTTTTTTTCATTATTTTCAGGTTCCAAAGTACAGCAAAGTTGATTCTTGATCTCTAACACAGTTAGTGGCAGGGGAAAAAATAATTTCCATTTGACATCAGAATATACAGCAGACTATATTTCGCAGAGATGAACACTAAGAGATAATTTAATTTCATAATTATGCTACCATAGACAAAAATGCAAATTAGTATGTCTGTCATGCATGGTATGTGTGGCAATTTAGCCTGATTTTACAGTTATTAGGGCAATATTAAATACAGAAAAATAAATAATACCTAATGCTTCAGTTATTTGTATCCAACTCCATGCATAGCAGTCTGCATTCACTTAATCTCTCTGCCTGCATTTCTTATAAATACAGAGGGAAGTGGGTGAATGAGAAGCAAGTGGGCAGGTCAGGGAGGTATGGAAACTTTGACCATCTTTTAGATCCATGTTCCTCTGAAATTTTACAATTCCTTTTACCTATAGTATTAGGAGACTACTTGAATTGGACTTGGAGAAAACAGGTAGGTAAGGGCTAGAAGAGTGTGAGGCAAATGTAGGCCATGTGCCAATGACCTCACAACTTTTACAGTTGAGGATAATCTAAATTTGTCTTCATTAATATGGACCAAAACAGCTTTAGCCTTAATTCTAGAGTAAGGTCAACAGCAGGAACACAAGAAAGCAGGGTAATGCACTGTTCATCAGACTCGGTAAGACTCTCATTTTTTTTAAAGCTAAATAAATAAACTTTCAGGAAACAATATGTAAACTTAGGAAAAAACTAAATTTTAAAAAACAATTTGCCTATTAAAGAGATGGGACTATTGTCTTTTATTAATACCAATGCAAATATGGCCACTAGAAAAAGGATTGTTCGCCAAGTATCCAGTTTGACAGTCATTACATTCAACAAAGCAGAAATTGTATCTGGATATTTTACCAGAAAAGGCCCCCCGCCCAATATTCTCAACAAGGAAGGTGATTTCAACAGTGAGGGACAACAAAAACAAATACATTAATTCTTAATTGTGGTAGAGTATATGTGACTTATAAATTATTCATATATTTTGAAATAATCTTCATTCATAATTATTACTTTCATGTTTAGAAGTTCATTAAATAAGTTTAGAAAACAGCAACAGGCTGATGAGAAGTATTTATGCATTGAGGGGAAGATAATTGCAAAGTGTAGAAGAAATTCAAGGCTTGATGACGTTTGGACTGGAGTGTTGCATGTTTCTTTGAAAAATTAACATTCATTGATGCTGTTTTACCTATTTGAAGGTTATTTACGTGGAAAATAAAATATTCATCATCTAATCTTTTGTTGATTTTACGCATATTTACTTAGCACCTACTCAAGCCCTGTTCAAGTACTGTGGATACAGCAGGGAACACAACAGACAGGAAACCCCCGTCTCTATCGAGGTTACATTCTAGTGTGGAAGACAGACATACAATTTAAAAACAATAAGAATTAAAGTATATAGTATATTGGATGGCCATCAATGGAAAGGAGAAAACAAAAACACCGAATGGCCTAGGGAGTTTGTGTACGTGAGTGCAATTTTGATAGGATGTCCAGAAATGGCCTCACTGAGAAGATGAGTTTTGACGTGAAGGAAGTAAGAGAGCTAGTCTTGTTGACTTGGGGGAAAAACACCTGAGGCTTAGAAAAGGCAAGTGCAAATATATTGTGTTGGGATTATAACGGGCATGATCGATATCAATAATCGTAAGGAGAAGAATGTGGTTTAAGGCAAGTGATTGAGGAGGATGGATAAGGGGAGGAATTCAAAGAGGTGAGAGACCTTGCAGGTTTGACTTTTACTCAGAGAGACATGGGGTGCTGTTGGAAGGTTTAGGGCAACAGGATTACTCTTGCTGCTGTGCTGAGAATAGACCATATGGACAGAATGCAAAAGAAGGGAAGTCAATTAGGGGCCTCTTGCAGTCCTCCAGGTAGGGTTGATGGTGATCTGGACCAGAGTGGTAGTAATGAGATTGTTGGCAAGCTGCTGAATTAGTGACACATTTTGAAGGAAGAGGTGACAGTGTTTGGTGACAGAATGTGGAAAGTGAGAAAAAGAAGAGTCCAACATGACATGGGTATTTGGCCTGAGAAACTAAAAAAAATTAGATGGCCATTTGTTGAGATAAGAAGGATAACAGGAAGATTAGGTTGAGGGGTGGGTGTTATATCCAGTGCTTAATTTTGAGCTTACTAAATTTGAGATGCCCAGGAGACATCCAAGTGGCAATGGGGAGCTGACATCTACATACGGAATTCTGGAGATGTACACTCGTGGCACCAGCATACAGGTACTACTTAAAGATAGAACTGCATGAGATTTCATAGTAAGTGAGTGCCGATAGAGAAAAGATACAAAGACTGAGCTCTGGAGGTTCTAACATTCAGAGACCTGAGAGATGAGGAGGAACTAGTAAAGGAGACTGAGAAGTGGCAGCTAGGAAAACAGAAGGAAAGTCAGAAGAATGTAATGTCCCAGAAAGTAAATAAAGAAAGTGTTTTGAGAAGACAGGACCAAGCAATCACACCAGATGATAGTAACGGGAGAGAATGTAGACTACATGGGCTCCAAGTCATGTCACTGGATAGATATGGATAGATATGGAGGTGGGAGTCTCTGGAAATTATCTTCCAATTGCTTGAATTCTCTCAGTGTTATGGGAAATGAAGACAAGGAAAGAAGTCTACATAAGTTTGAAGAAAATATAGAATGGTCAGATAGCAGGGATCGAGAGTGAATAGACTTAGAAGATAGAGCGAGATTGTCAGGCAGCATTACCAGCTGACTTGAGGTTAGTGATCATGAATCTAAAATGAGCACAGTTAGTGTGGCTGGGTGTTTCCTGTAGCCACATTTGATTGCATGAATGTGAGTTGAATTTAATTGAGTGAAATGCAGGTAGTATGAATACGTAAGGGAGTAGCATAAATGACTATGAAATTTGTGCTGGGCAGAGGTAAGGGCATGATGTGAATGAGGAAGAGTGAAACTATGACTGAAGGACCCAGCAGAATAAAAGAATTTCGGAATTGGGGTTCTGAAGAGAGTGAGCTGAAACATAGGAGGGGCTGGCAAGTGTGAAGTTAGACACAGAAATAGATAGAGGGTTTAGAGTTACCTAACTGAGAGGCCAACTAGAAGAATTATCTACTGCTCTAATCAAGATCATTAAAGTCAGCAAGAATAAGAAGGGGTTGTGGTGAGGAGTCACAGTTTGCTGAGAGCTAGAATTGACAAAGAATGAGGGGGTGACACTTAGATAGTTGCTTCAGAAGAAAGAATGGGTGATTTAAACCTAGGAGTTTTTATGGAAGGTAATATGGTTTGGCTGTGTCCCCACCCAAATCTCATCTTGAATTGCAGCTCCCATAATTCCCTTGTGTTGCGAGAGGGACCCAGTGGGAGATAACTGAATCAGGAGGGCGGATTCCCCCAAACTATTCTCGTGGTAGTGAATAAGTCTCACAAGATCTGATGGTTTTATAAGGGGAAAGCCCTTTCACTGGGTTTTCATTTTCTTCTCTTGTCTGCCACCATGTGAGACGTGCCTTTCACCTTCTGCCATGATTGTGAAGCCTCCTCAGCCTCGTGACTGTGAGTTCCTCCTCAGGTGGAACTGTGAATCCATTAAACTTCTTTGTAAATTGCCCAGTCTCATCTCAAGTATGTCTTTATCAGTAGCGTGAAACGGACTAATACAGAAGGGGAGGGAGAATAGTCTAGCATTAGGTACCTATTCCACTCCCAGGAGAGCGGTATCCCCTCACTCTAACCTGATTAATTCATCTTCTCTGTGTTTATTACCCTATACATATCTCTATTTTTTATAATTATCTTTTTTTTTCTATCATGCCCACTAATTTCTGAGCTTCTTGCAGCTATAGATTGTGTATTATGGCCAGGCGTGGTGGCTCATGCTTGTAATCCCAGCACTTTGGGAGGCCGAGATGGGCAGATCACAAGGTCAGGAGATCAAGACCATCCTGGCTAACACGGTGAAACCCCGTCTCTCCTAAAAATACAAAAAATTAGCTGGGCGTGGTGGTGGGCGCCTGTAGTTCCAGCTACTCGGGAGGCTGAGGCAAGAGAATGGTGTGAACCCAGGAGGCAGAGCTTGCAGTGAGCCGAGATCGTGCCACTGCACTCCAGCCTGGGCGACAGAGCGAGACTGCATCTCAAAAAAAAAAAAAAAAAAAAAAAAAGATTTTGTATTATTCATCTTGATGGTGCCTTAGTGACTAGAACACTTGCCTGGCAAATTGTATCTACTCAATATTATATAATAGTTGGATGCATGAATACATGAACATAATTGTACACTCAGAGACACTTTATGCAGGATCCTTACATTTGAATGATACTTGATTTTACAGGAAGGACATTAAAAAAATTCCATCCAGGTAACCTGCCATCTTCATTAGTGACATGACAATTACAAGCAAACTCTGCAGATAAGATTATTTTACGGTTTGTAAAGCATATCTGCCTATTTTCAACTTCATATTGGTTTTTGTATTGGCTGTAACATGATTGGTCTGAAATTTTGTTATTTCCATTTAAATTTCAACGTTTCTTTATCAAAACTTTACATAATTATCTCTGCATTACCCAGCCCAAATTGTTGCATTTTAAAGACAGATCTATACAACATTCACAGTATAGGTATGAGAATAAAAGTAACGCGGATAATTATTTCTCTTCTTCATATATTACTGATTTGAAGCCACTCTTTTATGGCATGTGGGCACACCTTTACAAATTGAGTTCATTCTACACATATCTTAAACATATGGGCTAGTTTTGTTTCAAATGATTTCAATTATATATAAATTGAAAAATATTTGTTTGTGTCAATTGCCTTAGTTTCTTCAGCTTACCCTAGTAATAGCATTAGTTGATACCAACTCTGTCGGGGGGGGGGGCGGTGGTATGAGGTGGAATGGAATAGGGAGAAAATACAACAACTGCCCTTTGTCTAACTTTGTGTTGTATTTAAGGATCCAAGGTTGCTGCATATCACATTAATCAGCTCTGTATGAGTATCTCCAATTCGTGTCTCAAAATATTTTCTGATAACCCAATGTAGGGTTGGATAATAGAGAACTATACAATAATAAAAGCATTTAAAATACATTTGATAATGAAAAATCTTCAGCAAACCAACTCACAGTGTGGTGCTCATGTATATGGAAAAGTGCTTCTCCCATATTTGAGCATATTGATAAAACGGGAGGAAAAAGGGCTAGATGTAGTATGTCATAAAGAAAATATGCTTGCTTAATAGTTCTTTGTAGGTGGCCTATTGCAACTTGTACTTTCCAAATCACCTCTACTAATCTTCAACATAATCAACCAATGCCACTGTTGAGTAATTACTTTTTATTAGTATTGCCTAAGAGATAAAGATTGGATGAGCAAAAAGATTCATTTTGTGTTGCTAATTGTTCTGCTTTAAAAGATAATTTTATATATGTTTCATAGTCATCTGAGAGAATCATAAAAATCTAGACTCAGCATCTAAGAGATATTCTCATTTATATTTAAAATACAGATGTATTCAGATTTCCATCTGCAGTAAGAATAACAGGTAAAAATATAGACAAAAACTTGAAGGCACACATTTAATACATCTTAATTCATATATCTGTTTATTTTAATAATTTTAAGTGGTTTGATACATATTCCTATTCCTAGCACACAATTATTAAAGAACTAGAAAATGCTTGCCTGATGTTTCAATTTAAAAAAGAATAGAGATAATACATCAAGTAACTTAAAGATTTCTTAGGACCCCATCTTACTCATAATGACTCACCTTAGTCCTTGCCAGCAAGGGGGCACCCCGTTCCAACAGAAGTTCCACCACTTGGTCATGCCCACTTCGTGCAGCACAGTGAAGTGGTGTCAACCCATCCTGCCAAAAGAATTAAAGAATTAGGCCCAAGTTCACTTCAAAAAAATCTATATTTCATCTATTGCAACCATAAAGAGGGAGTTCCTAAACTCAATCCTGATTACTCAATAAATAAGTAATAGAACTGCAATTTGTTAAATAACCAGAAAGATGAGTGAAAGAGAAAACAAGTCAGAAGTACATCTTCACAGAGAACAAGAAAGAGAAAGGGAAAGACAAACAAAACAGAGACAGGGAGAAAGCAAGAGAGATCCCCTGTGTGGACAGAGGGTCAATGGAATGAAATTGGCTTCTGGTCATGTGTCTGCGTATTCAAGAAGATGGGAAAGCACAGTATGTGGCATTTGTTGAAATTTAAAGCTCTACTCCCTGGAACCGAAAACAGGGATTATATTAGGTTATACTGTCTTCATATTGTTTGTTCTAATATACTTTTACCTAAAAATTTTTCTTAGCGTAATTTTTTCACATATGTTCTCTTTTGAATTGTCATCACTTTCATAAATTCTAAAATGCTTCCTAATGCTTGCAAAAGTGAAGCATCATTTTTTAGACTATTTTAAAGATTTTCACACATATATTTCAACATTTTAGAAATCACATAATTGCTTCCCAAAGATGAACTTTATTATTAATAAATAGAACCCTAACTCCATCAAATAAAATATGGCAGAACTGTATGCTATATTACTTATAAAACTTTCTGATCTTTACACTTCTGGGATAGCCTCTGATTCCAGAGCAATCCCCAAGTGCCCTCTGTCTTTTATATTTTATTTCTCTTTAGGGTGGCATGGGCAAAAAGCAGAGTGGGTGGGAAATGTGAGGCGAAATGTAATTAACAGTGAGCAAGAAGTGAGAGAGAAAATGAAATACTGAGTGCTTAAATTTACTGGTGATTTGAGGTGGAAGGAAAAAGAAAAAAAGATTGTCCCAAGGACAGAGGTGGAGAAGGTGGATAAATCACAGAGAATGGATGGTGAGCAATTAAGAAGATTTCAGCAGTTTCTGATTTATCCAGAACTCAAATGGCCTCTCGTTTGTGTCTCTACTTCCAGGACCATCTCTCCAGGTTATGCTTTACTCCAAATAAAAATAATTCCTCTGAATCGCAACACTCTGACTCAACACGGAGATTTCTATGCTAGATGTCTTCTGTTTGCCCCTCCAGACCCATGCTCTACCCTTCTCCTCCCTGCTCTGTGTCCCAACAGACTGGCCACTGTAGGGGGCATCAGTGAGCTGCCTTGTCCTCTGGCTTCCAGCTGGGTTTGGCCAATGCAGCAAGACATGAAAAGGACTTCGAGAGACCTCCCAAATCCGGCTGTGTGTCTTTACGAAAGTTTACCTTCCTGCCAAAGCAGCCTTTCCACACAATTCTCTCCTTTGAAGTTCTGGGGGTCTCCTGTACTTCTCACTTTTTAGGTTGAGCACTGGTATTGAGTCCCGCTGTTACTAGCCCCTGGGATTCTACACTGTCCCTTGTCCCTTGTCTCTTTCCTACAGACTACACAATATTATAAATAGACCCTTCAATAATCTCTAATCAAATGATCAAATTTGGGCCTCTGTTTTTGGCTAGGACCTTGACTGATAATGATTCTTTGCTTTGTGAAATCCATTTAGCTAGTACGAAGATATTGAATAACCAAAACAGATTTTGCAGTTTTGGGTACCTAAGAATTAGCATGAAAAGATTGCCTTCTCAGAAAAAAAGTATTTAGCTAGTGTAGTTGAAATGCTACATTATTTTAAAATTTGCCAGATAGGAGCCTTAAAGAGTTGTTCCAGCAAAGTGATGACAATGATTACACTTTTGTATCCTGATAAAAGCACCCTGTGGTGGAACTACAGAGCATTAGTTGCTACATAACTTACCTAACAATTAGATATAGCATGGTTTCTCAAACGTATTCTTGGTGAGGGCTTTGTGGAGACCTAGGGTTTGAGAAATCCCACATGGTGAACAGAGACATCATATGTAACAGTTCAGTGTGTGGACTTCGGAACCATGGAACCCTGCAGTGAATCTCAAATCGGTCACCATGGATGAATCTCTCTAAGGCTGAGCTTCGTGATACATAGAGTGGAGATGATGTTTCTCACCCTATTTAACTTGCAAGCCTTGTTTGAAAGATGAAGGAGGGAATGGCACCTTACATGTTTTTTAGAAAAGGCAGAGTATTGCTTTCTGCAAATTGCATGAAATAGTCTTTGTGTAATCATGTTGAAACATCCAAAATACTCTCAGAGTAACAACAGGAGCTTTATGGAGAACATTTAATATACCCACAAGAACATCAAGGAACAATAAGGATTAAATTAGTTCTAAATCCTACATTTAATGATGCAAGGTGTCTGTGCTTATAAGATGTGTGAATGATGACATCAAATTCAAGTTACCCAACAGGCTCAATTTGATTAGATTTTGAATATTTTCTGCAAAGCACATTATAAAGTTAATGCCCCAAAAAAATTCTTTTCAAGCTTTTGTATTCTAAAATCTTTTTACTTAAATTCTTAAGTTTGTAGTTGCAGGTTATGGGTTTTTCCCCCTTCCAGAGACCCCTTGTGTTTTCTCTGTTGTTGTTTTTTTTTTTTTCTCTAGAATCAGTTCATCACACGGATGTACTATACACCATGATGTGGATAATTTTCATAAAGGTAGATCAATCAACATTGGAGGGATGCCACTTATGTAGTTTCTTTATCTTTTCATATCTTCCCCCCTCTCTGCTTAGGTCATTCTTTCAACAATGTATTCTGAAGTTTGTGTGAATACATGGGTAGGCTCTGCTGATTACAAAGTTCTGTGTCCTAGGTCAAGTTACATAATTCTGCTGAAACTAATTTCTCCCTTTGGTAGTCTCATTTCTCAAATGAAGACCTCCATATATTCTCAACAAGAAAATAATACACACTTCATAAGTTGTTAGGAAGATAAAATAAGATGATATTTGTAGAGTACTTAGCAGGGTGCCTAGAACAACATATGCATATGACAATTGAAAACCATTATTGTTACTGCTTTAATTATTATACCTAATAACAAGTAAGAAGGGTGATTCCTTTTCCCTGTGTGTTTTTTGTTCATCATCCTTTAATGTTTTTGTACACTTTTTATTGTTTGCTTTGAAATATGTTTTTTAATATTTTAAACATAATCCTAATATGCGGTATCACCACATTTAAATAATAAATAAGCTTAAAAACAAAAAAAGAATAATGCCCTTAATAAAGCCTAAATTTATAATTTCATTTTCACTAGCTATAAAATTTACGTTTTCACATTGAAATGAGGTCTTTCAGATACCAGTAAAAGGCTCTGGTGCAAATGTCTTAGAGTTTCACATTAGATAGTAGTCAATGATGAGAATGCCAACAAGATGGAAAATGCCTCAATGATTGCCAAAATGGTGATGAGAGCCAAGAAATAACTGTGGGTAATATTTGTTTCTTAATTATCTGAAAGCCTCTCTAGATCTTGCTATTCTCTAGATAATAAAAACCTTATGAATGAGAAAAAATAATGAGAAGATCAAGGCAAGATCCTTGACAGAATATACTAAATTCAGAATATTTGTGGTTAATTTAAATGCTGGGGGAAATTGAGATGTCAACAACAACAACAACAACAAAATGAAAACATAATACTTTAAAAACATTCCGGCCGGGTGTGGTGGCTCACGCCTGTAATCCCAGCACTTTGGGAGGCCAAGGCGGGCAGATCACCTGAGGTCAGGAGTTTGAGACCAGCCTGACCAACATGGAGAAACCCTGTCTCTATTAAAAATACAAAATTAACCAGGCACATGCCTGTAATTCCAGCTACTTGGGAGGCTGAGGTAGGAGAATTGCTTGAACCAGTGAGGTGGGGGTTGCGGTGAGCCGAGATCGCACTATTGTACTCCAGCCTGGGTGACAAGAGTGAAAACTCCGTCTCAAAAAAAAAAAAATTTTCATATGTAGAAGCTTTATTATATTCTCTAAAAATATAGTCAAAACCAAATTAAACATTGATATAGTTTATCAATGTTTTGATTTAGGCGTCACCACCTAAATCTCATCTTGAATTCTATTTCCCGTAATCCCTATGTGTCATGGGAGGGACCCAGTGGGAGGTAATTGAATAACGGGGTGGTTACCCTCATGCTATTTTTGTGACAGTGAGTTAGTTCTCATGAGATCTGATGGTTTTATAAGGGGCTGCCCCCTTCACTGGGCACTTATTTCTCTCTCCTGCCACCATTTGAAGAAGGATGTGTTTGTTTCTGCTTCTGCCATGATTGTAAGTTTCCTGATGCCTCCCCAGCCCTGCAGAACTGTGAGTCAATTAAACTTCTTTCCTTTATAAATTACCCAATCTCGGGCAGTTCTTCATAGCAGCATGAGAACTAATTAATATAAACATTTTTCTATTTTTGAATACATTTCAAAAGCAAAAGAAAAAGCAAAACATATTCATTTATTTTAGTAATCAAATATTATAGTTCCAGAATTGGCCTCCCAATTCCAGCCCACAGTCCTTGATTTCAGTATTTACCTCCTACTTGATTTTGTCTTTAGTAAGAGGGATATAGGTCTGTTAGCTGTAGCCAGAATGAAAAGAACCCAACAATGCTTTTAAAATCCTTCTACTTACAGATGAAGAAGTATTTCAACTTATGGGGGGAAAGTTTAGTGCTAAAAAAGATCAATGCAACCCTATTCACATAGCAAAAACTTAGAACCAAGCCAAATGCCCATCAATGATAGACTGGATAAAGAAAATGTGGCACGTATACACCATGGAATACTATGCAGCCATAAAAAAGGATGAGTTCATGTCCTTTGCAGGGACATGGATGAAGCTGGAAACCATCATTCTCAGCAAACTAACACAAGAACAGAAAATCAAACCCCACATGGTCTCGATCATAGGTGGGAGTTGAACAATGAGAACACATGGACACAGGGAGGGGAACATCGCACACTGGGGCCTGTTGGGGGACGGGTGTAGGAGAGGGATAGCATTAGGAGAAATACCTATTGTAGATGACAGGTTGATGGGTGCAGCAAACCACCATGGCACGTGAATACCTGTGTAACAAACCTGTATGTTCTGCATATGCACCCCAGAACTTAAAGTATAATAAAAATAAAAATGTTCAGTGCAACCATTCAATATTGTAGCTAATCCTGGGGTGTGCTGGAACCAGCTCATATGAAATAAGGAGAGCCACTTTTTGCACACCTCTTCCCAATTCTACATTTAGTGATACCAAGTTGCTAGCTCTAAACTGACCACTGTAGAAGTATTTACACCATGGAAACCAGCAAAGGTAATGCTACAAATCAAGGGTTTTGTTTGTTTTTTGTTTTTTTGTTTTTTAAGAACCTATTATTAAACTTTTACAAGAAGACTGTTAACTTAATTCCTTGAACTACTGACTTGCATCTCTATGAGTCTAGAAACCTACTCTGTCTTGTTAACTGTCGTATCTTCAGGGTTCACAGCACCAAGTAGGAACTCAATAGTTATTTGTTTAAGGAATAAATGAATGGAATGTTTATACAATGTATACAGTTAGAAAACCTATTTTATTCTTTTTAAATCCTTGAATGAAATTTAATTTATTTGCTGTATCTAAAGGCTGCACTATGACAGAACTAGTATAAGAATCCATTTCTCTTCATTTCTTAGTACTCTTTTTATGAAGATACACTGTCTATTTGGAGTTAGACTTTTTAATTGTATACCCAAATATATGTAAGCCACACAAATTAGAGTACTTTTATTAAGTAAATACTGTTGATTAATAAGAACAAAGTCAACTATCTTAATAATGAGTTAATACTCCAAAAAGCATTAATAAAAGCAATGTGCATCCTTAAGACATTGGCCAAGATAAAAATTTTTTTGCATTTCCAAAATGCTTTCTTTCCAGTGGTAATCTCATAAAGGCAGTATATAGGAAGAAATTATGTTAGTAAAGTATGTTTGTAATGTAATACATTGGTAATGTTAGTAATGATGTTAGTAATGTAGTAATGTGCAAAACTCATTCCTTTAAATAGAAAGAATAAGTAAGCAAACCATGCAACATAACGCATACTGTTCCAAATTCTGTATACTCACAGTATGGTAAGGAAAAAGGCATGCCTACTAAGCAAAAAGTAGAAACCATATAAAACTCTGATGCAAAGACACTGGACACCACAGCAAAGATTTGACAGAACGCAAACCTCTCCAGAACTCCCACGTGTTGTGATGTAGCCACTCTGGACCAAAAGTTTTAGAGAAGTGAGATTAAGAAAGCAAGGTTTCCTGAGGTCATTAAAAACCATAATTTATAGTCTGGGACTGGTATAGATTCTGGAAGCTTACAGATGATAAAGTTTATTAAACAAAAGTGTTTGCTAGCCCCCAGATTTGCAAGGAAACTAGATTTGATCTTTACTGCTGGGACTATGAAAACATGAAGTCTCAGAATTAAACAAAGTGAAGTAAAATACCATAAGAGACATATTCTATTTATCATCTTTCATAGGCTTTTTACACCACATATTAACATAGACTTTTATACCACATATTAACATTTTTGTATTATAGGCACATTTGAAGTTTTGCTGAAGTCTATGATTAACCAAATCTACTCCAGATAATTAATACTGAAATAATCCTTACATGTTTCAGCAAATAACTACATATTATATAACGTCAGTAATATTATCAAATATTATGAAGAGCTAGGTAATTTACTCTGCTTTTTCAAAAATGGTAAATAATATACCTAAGAGTTAATTCTCACACAACTTTATGAAGTAGGTGTGTTATTATTAGCCTAAGTTCAGAGAAGGTAAGTAAACTGCCAATATAATACAACTTATTAATAGTAAAAATAGGATTTGAAATCAGGCAGTTTGCCTTTATTCTGCACTTTTAACAACTGAACTCTACTGTCTATTGTGTTATCTATTTGGGGTGTACTGCAAACTTGAAATGACATTTTACTTAAGTTTGAAACAAATGAAAGCTATCACTTCTACCAAAATGACATAAAGGTATAGTATACTAACTGTATGCTTTTCTCCATAATAGCAAATCCCCTGCTCAGGTCAGTATAGCATAGCTGCTTAAGAAAAATGAATTAGGAATTGAATACTTAGAAGCAAAAGATTGTAAACATGTACTAAAATATTTTGTGTAAAAGCCACATTCTCAATCTTAATGTATGGTAATTAGTTTGGGTTCTTGATACTTATAACTACCCAAAAGAGAGTTGTGTAAGCCTAATCTTTGATCTTTGGTCCCAGAAAATCACTAAGCCAAAACTTGAAAAACTATCTCATTGAGGGACCAACATTTTGCTTCTCTGGGCACTTATGAGCAAATATTAATTTCACTGTACGGTATGAACCCTTTAAATGTTGTATGAGATTTAAATCAATTCCAATAAAGCAATTTCCTTGAAAACACATTGCTTATGTTAATGACCTGGTGTCTTGAGGTGCCTTCTATGAGGCTTGAAAGAAATAATAATGGTAGAAAATTGAAAGAACAGAGACACTCACCCTAGTTTTGGCATCGATCTGACCGCCTCGATCCAGTAAGAGCTTCACCATGTTTGTATTTCCTCTTTTGGAAGCCACATGCAGAGGAGTGATTCCATTCTACACCACAGAAAGACCAAACAAGAGCTGTTGGGTATGACAGGGCATGATGGCGATGCCTTTGTGTTAAAGGCCACAAAGGAAGTTGTGACCTACGTGGTAATTTGATCCACAGTTTCTACTCTTTCTATGTCTTTGATTTTTAAGGAACAAAAATCACACAAACCACAAAACAATATAGTTAGAGAATGAAAAATGGAATGAAACTGCATAACTAAGTTAGTCAATAACTACAAAATATGTATTGAATGTACAAGTTATAGTCAAGAGACAAAGGGACCACTTTACTGTAATAGAAACAAAAATTTTAAATCTACCTAAGATAGGGCCCTAGTGTAAAGTCTTTCTTTCTATAACATCCATGCACTTAAAGAGTCTGGCATCTTAAGTTTTATGATTCTTAAAAACAGAATACAAATATTTGGGTATTAATATCCAATATAAAAATGATTCTTAAAAACATCTCCTTCAAGTTGGGCATGGTGGCTCATGTCTGTAATTCCAGCACTTTGGGAAGTTGAGGTGGGAGGATTGCTTGAAGCCAGGAATTCAAGACCAGCCTGGGCAATATAGTAAGACCTCATCGCTACAAAAAATTTTAAAAAATTAGCCAGGCATGGTAGTGTGTTCCTGTAGTCCTAGCTACTCAGGAGGCTGAGCCAGGAGGATTGCTTGAGCCCATGAGTTCAGGGCTTCGGTGAGCCATGATCATGCCCCTGCACTCCACCCTGGGCAACAGAGCCAGACCCTGTCTCTAAACAGCAACAACAACAAACAAACGTCTCCTTCAGAATAATTCAGTAAGAAAAACAGCTTGAAAATAACACAACATAGTTTCAGTGCAGATGACTTCTTAGTACAAAAACATTATACATACAAATTATATTTATTTATTTTATTGGCTATCACATATCATCATTATGGCAAGGATATGTACCTGATTTTTTGTCTGTTGTAATTTTTGTATATTCATATTCTGCATTAACTGTATATTAAGTATACTGATATATACCATTATCATGTAAGTGAATTCTTTCTAATAACAGCATACCATGAAACATGTAACAATGTGACACCTTTTATGTATTTTAGTAAGACTTCATGTGAACAAATTCTCAATTCATTAAAAACAATTCCCTATCAAATTGTGTGCCCTACAGTCATCATAAGACATGCTACTTATATATTTTATAGTTAACATTTTAACAGTTTAATAATTTTTTGACGTGACTTATCAGGATTCATGGCATGATCGTTAAATATAACTGTTCATACTGGTCAGAATGAATGTCATCCTTAACTATTGGAAATAATTTTTGCATGAGTTTACAACATTCTTATTTTCTGCTTAAGCCAAGATGACTTCTTGTGATTTAAAGAAAGGAAATGAAAAATCTAGTATCTCCAGCACAGACCCAGGTAAGGAAAAAGAAGTAAAATCTTTAAGAAAGCCATTGGTGTTCCTTTTTACTTTATTAAAATATTCATTTACTGCTATCTAGAATGAGAAACTATTTCAATCCATACCCTGGCTGTGAAGTCCACAGCAGCTCCCCGGTTTAGAAGAAGAGTTGCCACGTTGACATTTCCGTAATGTGCAGCTATGTGCAAAGGGGTAAAACCACTCTATGAAAGCAAAGATATGACAGTCAGTATAGCGCTTCACTTTTCTATGTTGCAGCCATTGTATTAGTGAAGAAGGTCACATGGTAAAAGTCTACCTAATATATAAGCAATAATAAATGCTTTAGTAAGATCTTAAATCTTAATGTTATAAGGTGGTACATAACTAAACATATAAAAAGTAAATAAATATTCTACATTTATTGGCATAATATTCATGGCATATTTTTAATTATCTTAAATATTTATCTATTTATGAGATTTGTTGTTTATACAAAACAATGTTTCTTAAGTTGGTTTTGCATATTGAAGAAAACCAGAATATGTTTAAACAACATCAGGTTTCAGCCATAGGATTAACATATCAATGAATTTTTTAATGTCTTTTCAGAGAAGATTCAAAGAAACCAGTGTTTTTGTTTTATTTTTGTTTTAAAAAAGCAGTATTTGTTGACATTATACTTTTGGAAGCATGAAAATATGTTGAAAAATTCTTACAAAGATATAGAATTTGTTCCACATCATTTACACTGTCATGATATTCCTATACCCTTTTACAACTGTGTAGCACGATTATGTTGTTGTCATGATGAAATAATTAAAAAACAAAAATTAAACAATATACGTGGCATCAATAGGAATATAAAAGGAAGAAAAAAGTTCAGCTCACTCCAATTTTGAATGTTAAACAAATTTTATCAATACAATAAAGTGTAATTTAACCAACCAGGTTAAATCAACTATATGGGCATTACAGAACTGTTTACTCTCAAAATGTTTAAAAAATAAGTCTGAAATTATCAAATGAAAAAAATATATTTCCTTTTCTTTCTTTTTCTGATGAAAATCTAGTTGAAAATTGTTGCCATCTTTGCAATAGAAGCATGTTAACTCTTTTCTTATTAAAGTACACAAAGATCTAATAATTTTTCTTACTCTCCAGAATTTTCACTACTTAACAAAAGATTATGGGAAAAATAGAAACTGTTATTTGGCTATCACATCCTGCAGTTTTTGGGTTACTTGGTATTGCTCTCTTTTACTTGAAATGAACTACGATGTTTACTGTATTGTTTTTAAGAAATATTTTCAAAATTACAACTTTTTTTCTATTGAGTTGATCTATAGGCTTTGGTGGCTTTGTTTTAAAAACACCCTAAATAAGCACTCAGATACCTTAGGTAATGAAAATTTGTGCTCTTACTGTAGCAACATTAGATACAAATAATTTCTTACTTAGAGAGAAGCAAGACACAAAATAAGAACAGTTACTATTAATCCAAATCCCCTATCTATGATCAAGATATTTTTATTTTGCATTTACATAATGCCAATATTCATGTCAAAATGGAGGGGAAAATCAGCCCTCAACCTGGCTGTTATTTTATAAAATGTCAAATTTTCATATTTTAGGAAATAATTGACTAAATTTATTTCATGTTTATCTTGATATTTCCTGTCACACAGACATACCCTGAGTGTGTGTCTATTACTGATGTTACAATTTAGTTTCAGAAAAACATATTGAGGGTGGGTGGATCATTTTCAAAGTATTTAAATATAGTAATATCATTTGCAAAAATAAACTTATTGTCTGATACAGCCTCACTGATCATTCATAATGATAACCAAGCTGTCAATCTTGGATCAGCACAAAACTGGTATCAGCCCTTCAGAGGAACGCTTCCCTGATTAACATGGAAGTAGGAGGCAGAGTTCACATTTCTACAGGATTAGACGAAGGGGTTTCTCTTCTTTTTACTCTATTGTCTTCAAGCAAATATTTATAACTCAGTAAAAATCCACCCAAACTTCTGCTTTCACAATGTTTAGAGCCAATACTGCTTTCAAAAATGTATCTTAAATAATCACCAAAAAGCATCTAAGAAATTAAAGGTATTGAAATTAGTTATTAAGATATCAATTTGTACGGTTCCAGTTGTGAACAAGTTCACCAAGCAGTTGGGCTTTCCGTTGTCTCTGACCTAGGTTCCATGCAACGATAGGGAACAAAAGAAATAACACAAATAATTCAAGTATACCCTGTGAGAATGCTCAAAAGTCCACAACCTAGTCATCAAGCGAGATGATAGTCTAAAGAATCCCCTCAGCAAAACAATAATGGACCTACATAAAAAGTCACTTGTTTTTGAGTATAGGTTAGTTTGTATAATATACATCAACAATGTTCGTGTTAGTGTCTCTCTCTGTAGCAATGGCCAAGGAGAGACTACTAAATACATACATATACAAACACACCATACTGAGAGGCTTCTGAACTTAATGTTCTTATTGATTGATGTGACTTACTTTGGAATGTGGAAAATATACAATTCCATGACAAGTATTTTAAGACTTACAAGAAAAAGCAATTGGTCTGCTCTTGATATGCTCAATAACATCATTTATTATATAAATGTGGTAAAGAAAAAGAGCATACAGAAAAAAAAAGGGCAACAGCAATTAGATAAAAAGACAAAACTCAGTGGCAGAGAAACCTCCCAAATTTTCACTTCCTTAAAACTCTAACCTAAGAATTCTCATTAAGGAAATAAAATCATATCTCTTCTTGACAATAAGTTAATAGTAAATCTCACTCATTAAAATATATGTTAAGAAAGAGTTTCATTTCATTCTCTAATAACTTATTTAAATAGTTTTACTGATAAAAATAATGCTTCAAATATATGTTACACTAAATATCTTTGAATTATCAGTTTGCCTTCATTATGGGGAAGGTTTTCAAATTAATTTCCCATTAATCAAACTTCTAATCATTAGTATGAATTAGTGAGCATTTATTCCAATTGGGCAAAAACTAAAAATAAAGACAAGGTAAATTTTGGTATAACCACAATACTGTACCTCAGTTGTCCTATTCACCATCATCTGAAGCAGTGTTGTTTGGAAGAAAGAGGGAAGATATTACACAATGCAAAATTATGGAAACAGTCAATCTGCTCGCTGCAATTGGGTATACTGTTCCAACATGGCAAAATGCATTCTACTGGAAGAAGACATCCCCAAGCACCACACAATACAATTTTATCTTTTAAATTCTATTATTTGTGACTATAAACAGAATAAGAAAGCAGATTTCTAAAAAGCTCAACCTCATCTTTTAAAGAAAATTATCTTGCATTTAATTTTTTTAGATGG
Organism: Homo sapiens; assembly: GCF_000001405.40. Classification (NCBI taxonomy): domain Eukaryota; kingdom Metazoa; phylum Chordata; class Mammalia; order Primates; family Hominidae; genus Homo; species Homo sapiens. The sequence goes on along the minus strand of NC_000004.12, from coordinate 113,237,328 downwards.
TCCCCTTCTTTCTGAAATACCTCTGAAAGTCATTTATCTCTTTTTATGACCAGAAATAATTTTGCATTATCACCATGGCCTACTTCTTTATCATCCCCCAGGAGGAGTCTGGCAGCCAAAGAGTTCCTTTCCACAAATGTGTTCAGCTTTAAGTACCTTGGATTGTACGTCAGCATTGTGGTCATTCTGAAGCAGAAGTGCGGCAGATTTGGTGTCGTCTTTCCTAGCGGCAATATGCAGAGCTGGCAGCCTCACTTTCCCTTTGGTGTCATTCTCCAAGAGGATGGCCACCGCCTGGTTGTGTCCTTGCTGGAGTGCCACAGCTAGAGGAGTAAAGCCATCCTGGTAAAATGGAAGGTAAAAATTGTCTGTTAACATCTTCAGATGCTAGAGATTTAGTTCTAAGCAATGATGCCTCTAATCTTTAATGATCAAGATTGACAACCAAAAGAATAAAATATTACTGGGAAGATTAGAAGCAGATTATAACCAGTTATCCATCATATTATGGAATAGTTTAATCAGACGGCTTTCCTAATTTCTATTCTATACATTTTGAAAAACATCCGCATTCCTTAACAAACATATTACATACAGGATGTGCTCAAATGTATGGTTGCAATCGAAAAATAAAAGTGAGAACCAATCCTAAATAATGCCTCTGTAGGTAAAGCAGAAAAGTGGGAAGGGTAGAAAGAATGGAGACCAAGTCTGACTGGGAATCAAAGATATGGTGACTGAGACAGGGAAATAAAATATATGATTGACTATGCAGGTTATTAAATATATCTGAATGGTTAGGGAAAACAGCCCCTGGGGATGGAGTTGTCTATTACCAGTTCAATTTTGGAAGTTTAGGGAACAATATGATCTAAAACTCTGGCAAATTAGGATAACTTATTAATTATGCTCTTAATAGTTGAATTTTATATTATTTTGACCATTGAGATATAAAATTACATGTGCTAGGTAATGTAGAAAAACCTGTTTTTCAATTCTAAACTTAAAAAGACAGCTTAAAAAACAGCATGGGAAGTGAAAAGGTAGAGAAAACTTAGATAATCATGCTAGAAAACTTGGAAAGCTATCTTTTTCTTTCTAGAAACAAGAATTCAGTTCCTGGAAAGGTGACAAGTACATTAAAAAATAATATATTTTAGGCTCTACTTACGTGAAAGAAAAAAAAAACATCCTTAATCCACAAAAGTTGGAAAACAAGTCTCAAAGTTAGAAGTTTCCATTTCCATAGAGAAAAAAATATGGGCAATAGAATGGTAAATTGAAAGACTGGGGCCAGGCACGGTGGCTCACACCTGTAATCCCAGCACTTTGGGAGGCCGAGGCGGGCAGATCATGAGGTCAGGAGATCAAGACCATCCTGGCTAACAGTGAAACCCAGTCTCTACTAAAAACACAAAAATTAGCCGGGCGTGGTGGCAGGCGCCTGTAGTCCCAGCTACTCGGGAGGCTGAGGCAGGAGAATGGCGTGAACCCGGGAGGCAGAGCTTGCAGTGAGCCAAGATCGTGCCACTGCACTCCAGCCTGGGTGACAGCACAAGACTCCATCTCAAAAAAAAGAAAGACTGCATTCTAGGCCAGGCACGGTGGCTCACATCTGTAATCCCAGCACTTTGGGAGGCTGAGGCAGGTAGATCACCTGAGGTTCAGGAGTTCGACATGAGCCTGGCCAACATGGTGAAAACCCATCTCCTCTAAAAATAACAAAGAAAAAATTAGATGAATGTGGTGGCGTGCACCTGTAATCCCAGCTACTTGGGAGGCTGAGGCAGGAGAATTGCTTGAACCCAGGACTGCATTCTAGAGACGATGGTAATTTACCACAATTTAACTACTCCATTTTTTTCCGAAAATAATTTTTTTAAAGTCACTGCAGACTTCTGAGGAAAAAATAATTTTCCTCAAGTGTATTGTATCAATGTGCAGTACCAGCAATAATAATCGTTTTTTTAATAATAACTGAATTTTAAACACAACACATTACTTAACAGAATGGAAGAGTAAAGCATGTAGTATCTTAAGATGAAAAATAGTAGCCTGAATTTAGAACTTTGTTTGGCACAAATTAAATGCTCTGTGAATGAGAAAAGCACAGACTCATTAGCACATACATATTTAAATGTATTACCTCCTGCAGCACTGTGATAGTTTATATTAAAAGAGTGTGAAATTAATCTTTTTCTTAGAGATGAGGCATTTGCTCACAGAACAGAATGTCATTAAAAAGTTTTTGGCCTTTAATTTTGGTAATATTTAGGAAGAAGGAAGAGAGTAGAGAAATACTGTATAAAAATGGTACTGGAGAGACTGAGAACTCCCTTCTTAGTATTTAACCTCGGATCTTCACCACGTAGATTTCATTCTAATCTGTACTGCATGGGACAAGGCTAAACATTTGGAATGATTTGTTCAAGTGCCTCAATTAAAAGGAAATCCATATTAAAGTTTGGTAGCTTCATTTTTCATCATTTATTTACCAATGCTAAGTGCCATAATTATGGGAAATTTAAAAACTTCAAATATTTCTTCTCAATCATGAATTTCATTGCCACATTGAATAATCTCACAATTATTGAACTTTAAAGTGATCATAATGTCTTGATTAGTCATTAATTTTTGCAAATTAGCTACCAAACAGCTCAGGGCAAGTCCCTTCTTTAGGCATATTGACACATGGGCACATAAGACTGTAGAAGGTATTTAGCAGTATAACACAGGATATCAAATGGCAATCAACCACACAGCCCTGTAAAAACATTATTTTTTTTTTACAGAATGATGCACGAAAAAGGAATATGTAAAGATTTGTCCATGTGTGTTTTTTGATAACCATTAGTGCAGGCATTGAGAGTTTAATCAATTAAGCTTATATATTCAATCGGAAAAAAGTAATTTTAATTATTTAAATGATTGTCTAAAATGAAACAAATAATAGGTATATAATGTGTCTAAGCTAGAATTTAAAACCTCACATGATTTATTTGCAAAAGACACATTTCCTTGTGAAATCAGAGAGGATTTTAACTTTCTGGGGATCAGAGTGTAACATGGCCTCTACTGCTGCAATGTACATAAAAGGGTATTTTTGGAACCAAATGGGAAATGCTACAGTGGCCTTGACCAAAAGAGCCAGGAGCCATGAGACAGCTGGGAATGCCAGCGAGCTGAGTTCTCCTAAATCCTACACTAGAAACCTTAAGTCTATTTGGTAAATAGAAGCACTCTAGCATAAAGGTTTCATCTGGTAAATGATTCTGCTTTCAAGGAAATCAAAATCAAATAAAACAAATATAGATGTCCTTATTTTGATATATTTCTCAGAGGCCCTGATGCAAAGATGCAGTCTCATATTGTTACCTGAGCTCTGCCTGAAGATATTCCCATGGTAATCATGGACAGAACTAGTGTCTGAGGGAAAAAAAGGTCCCAAATCATAAAAATCACACTATATCCAAGTGACAAGAGTATAAAATCTGTGTGTATTGAATAGAGAACTCAAAAACATTTCATACTGGGTAGTTGTGTTTTCCAGTCATAGGTAGGAAACATGGTCTCATTAATAGTGATTTCTTGGATTTTTTTTTTTAACTAACGAGAATAAGCTGTCAGAAACTTGTTGCAATTGGCTCCATAAAAAGTTTTCTCCCAAAGGGACTGGAAAATGATTTATTACATTTTAATAACCTCTCCTTCTAATGCAGCATAGAAGGGAGTTCATGTCCTCAAGACTTAATTGTCCAGAAAGGAAGCCATATTAGACATTAAAAATTATCTTAAGATAGTTTCTGGGTAACAAGAATCCACCAGTCATCTTTCACTTCAGGCCAGGAGTTTTGAAATTTTATCAGTGGGGCCACAAAATATGAAATAAGAAAAGGCCGGGCGCGGTGGCTCACGCCTGTAATCCCAGCACTTTGGGAGGCCGAGGCGGGCGGATCACGAGGTCAAGAGATCGAGACCATCCCGGCTAAAACGGTGAAACCCCGTCTCTACTAAAAATACAAAAAAATTAGCCGGGCGTAGTGGCGGGCGCCTGTAGTCCCAGCTACTTGGGAGGCTGAGGCAGGAGAATGGCGTGAACCCGGGAGGCGGAGCTTGCAGTGAGCCGAGATCCCGCCACTGCACTCCAGCCTGGGCGACAGAGCGAGACTCCGTCTCAAAAAAAAAAAAAAAAAAAAAAAAAAAAAAAAAAAAAAAAAAAAAACAGAAAAGCCAAGCCCATATACTCTGGTTGAAACAGGTGAGAAGAGGCATGTCTCAGGGGAGCTCTCTTCCTCTCCTCTTCCATGTCGCCCACTCCCAACCTTCCAGTGGCCCCAAGCACAAGGGCTTCTGGAGCATCACTTGAAATCACTGCCCCAGACAGTCATTGAACTTGCTCCTTAATCTGCCTAAGCAAAAATGAGAGGGAAAATACAAAGAAAATGGAATAAGAAATGCTTAGGAAAGAAAACTGATGTTCTCAGGGTCCCTGCCCACTCCCACTTCTTATGTCTAGATGTCCTGGAACTCTTTAAAACTAGACTGATTTTGAACATTCTATTCAGTTGTTGCCATAATCAGTCACACAACCATGTGTCATAATTTGTGCTTCAATAAGGTACAGGGTTTTTTTTTAATGACATTCCTCATGAAACTGTGCTAACACAGATACTTATGAATTATTTCTGATGGTAAAAAAAATTGTTCCTTTAAGGAATTATATTGGATCCTAACAAAGATAAAGTATTGGTGAAAAGAGATGAGTAGAATTTACTGTAATTGAATTTTAGAATGGTACAAACCTCCTAAAAGGTCAGAGGATGGAAAATTAATGGAAGCATGATTTTATGTAAGAATAAATAGACACGAATCCAAAATGAAGGCATAAACTGATGGAACTCTGTGCACAAGCCTGAGTCATTTGTTCACAGCCACTGTTGCGATTATAATAGTAACATGAACATTCCTAGCATATTTTAGACAAAGTAATGGAGACTATTTGCAGCCTGATATAAAGAATATGGACATTAAGATCAAAGAATTCAAGGCTTTAGGGCTGACAGTCTTACCTCTGTAGCAGTGCTCTGATTAGCTCCATTTTCCAGCAAATATTTTACAACATCAATGTGATTCTCTTGGGCAGCCATGTATAAAGGAGTAAAGCCATTCTGAGGACAAGCAATAAAAAAAGACACCTTCAATCATTTGTATAAGAGAGAACACTAGGAAGTAAACCTTCGACATAGGGAAGATAGGTAAAATACTTTCATACTGAATAAATTATACACATATTTATCATTATAAAGCTAGACAAAATCGCAGTGAATCAAGCCCCATACACAATTCCTAAAGCAATGAGGAAAGTCTTCATTTCAGTACCAGAGAGTCACATTTCTCGTCAGCTAACACTGCGTAAAAGATATCTTAGTGGCCAGGCTCAGTGGCTCATGCCTGTAATCCCAGAACTTTGGGAGTCTGAGGCGGGTGGATCATGAGGTCAGGAGTTCGAGACCTGCCTGGACAATGGTGAAACCGCATCTCTACTAAAAATACAAAAATTAGCCGGGCGTGGTGGCGCATGCCTGTAATCCCAGCTACTCGGGAGGCTGAGGCAGGAAAATCACTTGAACTTGGGAAGCGGAGGTTGCAGTGAGCTGAGATCAGGTCATTGCACTCCAGCCTGGGTGACAGAGTGAGACTGTCTCAAAAAAAAAAAAAAATCTTAGTGTCTTTAGCATATTTGGTATCTCAGTATCTGTATAAGTTCATAACATATGGAATTATCACTATATATAGCATCTTTATAAAATAACATCTATATAATATCTTCTGCATTTATCATTCATAAACTATTTAAACAGACCATGGTTATCTTGAATATACAGAGTTTAGTTAGCACCCTTAGTGAAGTAATTTACTACTCATAGCAGAATAGGCTAGGAGAGACTACAAATTTGATTGAAAATGTAAAAGTCTTGGCTGGGTGTGGTGGCTCACGCCTGTAATCCCAGCACTTTGGGAGGTCGAGGTGGGTGGATCACAAGGTCAGGAGTTCGAGACCAGCCTGGCCAATATGGTGAAACCCTGTCTCTACTAAAAATACAAAAAAATTAACCAGGCGTGGTGGCACATGCCTGTAATCCCAGCTACTCGGGAGGCTGAGGCAGGAGAATTGCTTGAATCCGGGAGGCGGAGATTACAGTGAGCCAAGATCGCGCCACTGCACTCCAGCCTGGGTGACAGAGTGAGACTCCATCTCAAAAAAAAAGAAAAAAAAAAAAAAGAAAATGTAAAAGTCTATATTTCAGTGTTGTGACTGAGGCAGCATGGTTTATATGGAACATCTTTATATTGTTTTTTAAAGCCATTTTGAAATTCTATCATTCATTCTCACATTCACTTACACAGTTATTTACTAAAATACAGCCACTGGTGGCTAGGCTATCACGGAGCTACAGTGATAAACAAGACAGACACATGCGCCCTAATGGAGCACACACTATGGTAATATTATAACATTATTATAGGCATAGATTTTTAAAATCACTGAAATTGTATAACATGAGTTTAAAATTAAATTTGAATGGGCAAATTTTCTTTTCATCAGAGCCTTAGGAATATGTAATGTCTCATTAAGGAAAAAACCTACAAAACCTTCTTGTGAAATAATTCATAAGGTCTCAAAACCATGTCAGACCTTAAACATAGATGATTCCTTAAGCTTTCCATGCATTAACGAGAATAAGTAAAAACACAGATCAGCGTTCAGAGATTTTTAAAAACTTAAAAGAGGAGAAAACATTTTTTTTTTTTTGAGATGGAGTCTCGCTCTGTCACCCAGGCTGGAGTGCAGTGGTGCAATCTTGGCTCACTGCAACCTCTGCCTCCCAGGTTCAAGCGATCCTCCTGCCTCAGCCTCCCGAGTAGCTGGGACTACAGGGAGAAAACATTTTTTAAAGATACCTTTTTGGAAATAAAAATTCTTCTGTATACATTGTATAAGTGTGGAAACATTATTTAAAATGGCCAACATCCAGCAAAATATAAAGACAGAGTATACAAGTAGACCAAGTAGAGTGATTTTAAATTAAGATTATAGAAGAAAATCTTCTGGCTTCAAATGTTGGAGGAAAATTTACAACTAAAAAAGAAATATAAGAGGAATGAATTAACAACGTTGTAGGATTCAGGAATAACTTGCTAGCTGGATAGCATATTTTTTAAAAAAACACAGCAAGCAGGCGAAATCTTGTGTATTTTAAGAACACTGAAGAGGTGGCGGAAGGCTAGAATTAGAGATTCAAAGGAAGGGAAAGCCAGTGAGGATGGTTAAAAACAATGAGTGGGTGTGGAATGGGGCTCTTTCATGACAAGCAAAAGGCAGGGATGAAAATAAGAGAAAAAGAACTTTTAATAGAGTAAAACAATTTGCTAACATGCTTTCCTCTGACAGTCTTGTAGATAGATCAAGAGAAAGGGAATCAGGCAGAGGTCGCCAGATCAGCAGGAGAAAGGAGATGTACCATGCTGAGGTCCCTGCCTGAGAAAGGACCCTGCCCTGGGTCCTGAGCTTTAGAGGGACTTCCTCTGGCTGGGCAGGGCAAAGAATTCTGAGAGCCAAGAGGACAGGCTCACCATGATCCCACAGCTCCTCCATTACCAGAATCCCTGCCTACGTGTTCCCAAGTGTGGCTCCAGTGCTCACTCACACTTCTTCCTTGGGTTCATCCTCTCAAGTGTCCATTGGTAGGCACACCCTTTGGGAGGCAGAATGATGGCCCCCACATATGTCCACATCCTAATCTCTGGAACCTGTAAATGCTACCTAATTTGGCAAAAGGAACTCTGTAGATGTGAAGTTAAAAATTTTGAGATGAGGAGGTTATCCTGGATTATCCAAACAGGCTCTATGTAATCACTGGGGTCTTTACAAGAGCAAGACAGAAGGCAAAGAGGAGAGAAGATGCTACACTGCTGGCTTTGGAGATGGAGAACGGGGCCGTGATCCAAGAATGCAGCGTTAGAAGCTGAGAAAGGCAAGAAAAGGGATTCTCACCTAGAGCCTCCGGAAGGAAACAGCAATGCCAACATCTTGGTTTTAGTTCTGTAAGACTAATTTCCAATACTAAAAAAGAATAAATCTGTGTTGTTTCAAGCCACTGGTGGTGTAGTAATTTGTTACAGTAGCAACAGGTATGTAATACACACCTTTCAAGTTGTTTGCTAGGGAAGGTAAAAATGGGAGATGAACAAAGCTTGAATATGTGCAGGTTGGTGTGTCCACACCCTTCCATGTGATGCTCCTGTCAGGCAGATGGAGTCAGGGATAGGAGTAGAAAGGGGACTGGGTGGTAGGCCCCCAGGAGTGGCATTGCCCTCATCACAGTCCTGTGTGCAACTCCAAGCATTCCAGGATGTCTAATTTTGGACCTGTCATGATTTACCCATCAAAGTAGGAGATACTTAACCGTTTTTTAGCTTGATATGTAGTTTTTAATTTAAAAAAAAATATATTGCAAGCGGGCCTCTTTTGCATTCCTTGTCCTGGGACTTACAAAGAGATGAGCTAAAGTAGGAGAAAAGAGGGGAATATCAAGGTTTATAAAAAATATCAAGGGAGACTACTGGGTATCTACCCAGAGGAAAAGAAGTCATTATACAAAAAAGATACTTGCACACACGTGTTTATAGCAGCACAATTCACAGTTGCAAAAATATGGAACCACCCCAAATGCCCATCAATCAATGAGTGGTTAAAGAAATTGTGGTACGTATATATACCATGTACTAATACCCAGCCATAAAAAGGAACAAAATAATGGCATTTGCAGCAACCTAGATGGAATTGGAGACCATTATTATAAGTGAAGAAACTCAGGAATGGAAAACTAAACATCGTATGTTCTCACTCTTAGGGGGAGCTAAGCTATGAGGATACAAAGCCATAAGAATGATACAATGGACTTTGGGGACTTGGGGGAAAAGGGTGGGAGGGAGCTGAGTGATAAAGACTACAAATTGGGCACAGTGTATACTGCCCGGGTGATGGGTGCACCAGAATCTTAGAAATCACCACCAAAGAACTTATTCATGTAACTAAACACCACCTGTTCCCTTAAAACCTATGGAAATAAAAAGTTAAAACAAAACAAAAAAAATCAAGGAAGAAAGTATCAAGAATATGGGGAGAAGAGTAATGATAGACAAACATTCAAGATCTTGGTTAGAGCATTTCACAAACATCACATGTGTGCCTTGCACCATGACCCTGGTGTGCTACAACTTCCAGCAGAATAGGGGAGCAAATGCGAAGAATGATAAAAATGAATGTGACTTATTGAGCTTCTGTTATATCCACTGTAAAAAATGCTTTGAATGTATCTCCTCAAATTATAGTGCTCTAGTTTGTCTGGGACAGCTCAAGTTTATCATAGTATCCTGAAGTAATTATTAATAGTGCCTCAGTTTGGATGATAAATGACCTAATACTATATCTAATACTTAGAATGGTGCTGCAACATTTGTACTATTATCCTCATTCAAACTGAGGCAGCTGAGGCTCAAATACCTACGTAATTAAGCCAAAGTCTTGAGCTAATAAGTGATCTGGGAGTGACAGGCAGGTGGCAGTTACTGAATAGTCTCTTCCCTGTAATGGTATTAGGACTCCATCCTGTGGATGAATTTTCCTCAGCCTGGCTGTGTGATAGAATCTCCTGTAATAGCTTTTAAGAGTGCCTAGGTACCACTCTACCACCTCATCCCTACTGAATTGGAGTCTCCATGTGTAAAGCCCAAAAATGAGCATTTTTTTAAGAGCACATTTTTTTAAATTGCCTTGAAAAGTTTGTTATAGGTGATGCAGAAAAGTTGAATGTATTTTGGTAGGAAGTACCATAATCACATTTGCATTTTAGAAAGTTCATTCTGGTGAAAACAGATGCCTTGGCTTGGGGTGCTAGGAGACAAGAATGGAAGTAGGTTGTCAATCAGCTCCTGCAGTACCCTTTGCAATAGTGTACATAAAAGATGAAGGAAGCTTTGGTTGGGAGATCGGAGCATTGTTTATTGTTACAAAACATGTGAAGTAAGGCAATAAAGATTTACTACAGGTCCTTAAAATGTGGAAATTATTCTCTCTTAACTTACTGGTATTTAACAACAAAAAATAGCCCACTGGAGAATGTGAAACATGCCTCTGGGTAATTAGGACAAGGCATGGCAGCACTTTAACACCACTGTAAACTTTATAGGAAAGCATTTATCATCACATATTAATAGCTTAAGAACACAACTGTATTGGCTTCTGTGTATATGCATCCAGGTGCTTTCCAACACCTTATGTCTCTGTGTGTTTCTAAAAAGGCTCTAGTTGCATGTAGGTATGAAAATAGATGCATTTTCTCCTTTTTGGTATAAAAAAGTCAAAGATATCCACAGCCCAGGCTGATACTGGGTGGGTGAAATAAGTACAGCATTACCAGTTGTTACAGTAGTTCTGGTGTGACCAACAGGTGCTCCTAGCATCTGGTTATTAAATATTTTGAACATTACTCCTGTCCATAGAAAACTATGAATTATTTGTTATTCATTATATTTACTCAACAAAAATATGTTTGGTGACTTTTCACTGCTAGGCATTGTGTTCAGCTCTAATGATTCAGAGACAAAATTCAAGGTTCCTGTTTTGAGAATTCACAGCCCAGAGACTGAGATGGACAAGTTAGCAAAATTCTGTATTACACTTTAGTGAACACCTATATAATTAGTTTTTTTAAATTATGTGTTGGATATAAAGAGAACACAGATGAAAGACCCATAATTCAACTAGATAAGGAAATGATATCTGAACGAAGTTACTGGGAGTAACAGCTGGAAGACACTGAAGACACAGAAGCAGGCAAGGTATTTGAAAGAGAAGGAACACCGTGCAATGAGACAACACAGGACATACGGAAACTTACAATTAATGCATTGTTACTGGGGAGAAGCAGCTTAGATAGGCAGGGATCAGTCCCTGTCTGCCGTGCTGAGGAGTCTGAATTTTATTCTGAAAGCCTTGCGAGGAATTGGTTTTTGTACGGGGGTTTGACACAGACACATTTGATTTTTAAAGATATTACTTGGCGAGGAATGGGGAGGATACATTGGAAAACAGAGGCCAGACTATAGTCCAGAAGAGTGGAAAGCAGGTTTTTGTTAAATCCCAAGAAGTGAGAATTACAAGTATTAATATGATCTTAGTATTTTAAAATGTAATTTACTCTTCATTTATTTATACTCTGTTTCACGATTAGGAAGATAAGCATTGCATTCAGTCTGTATTATTTATCAGTCATTGATAATAGTTCTCAGGTTTATTAAACAGCTATAATGCTTTTCTTCAAATATAGAAATCATGCTGTATTTTAGGGAATTCAAACACTTATTACAAAAATATCTTCCTATTTACATTAGTAATATGACTATAAACCAGTAATCAGGTTTTAGCCAATGGTGAAAATTCCTTTTGGTAATTGGATTATCTTGACAAATTGAATGTGCAAGAGCTAATATTTATATTTTTACATATCAGATGTAGATTTAATGAAGCTTTTGGAAAATCTTTAAAGCAAGTAAATTTATTGATATTTATAAGTCATTTCAAAGAAATTATACAGAGAAAAATACTGTTAATATACAAGGTAATGAATGGTTTAACACCAATGTTTTGGATAAGAACTTCAACTCTAAGCATTGTCATTATTATCAATTTTAAAGAATCTTAACTTTTCAGCCTTTATTTTCCTGGCATGCATAACTTTATTCTTCCCTTACACAAGTGAAGATTCATCATTTGGTTGGCTTAAAAAGAGTGATCATATAAAATTACTTTTATCTTAATATAAGAGTAAATGTGACTATTCATTTTCAACAGTCTTTATAGCACCAGATTTGTTCTAAAAATTATTCCTAGGCACTGGGGGGTCCTGCTCTCAAGAGTAAAAAAAATGACAATTCACAGAATACATCTATATAGAATCATTTAAGGCTCCAGACATACTATAATTTCCAAAAGAGAAACATGAATAAAATGCTGCTGGAATACTAAAGACTGAGCAATTAACTCCGTGAAGAAGGTATATTATGGCCCATGCACACAGATCAGAGAGAACATTAGGAGGTCTAAATGAAATCAGGATGGCAGATACAGAGAAAGTGGAATGTTCTTTATTGTTCTTTTCTCTTCTTGCTCCATTGTCTCTCAAAAGATGTGGTGTTTGTAGGGGAAGTATGAGTGTCTTTGCTGCAGACACATATTTCACTTGGGGAATTTTGTCCTCTAAACCTGAGTCTAATGAATAGTGAAAGAACAGTAAGAGAAATTACTAGCATGGGTAAAAGCCAGTGCAAGAATGCATCTCAAAAGGAATTCTTACAGGTCTTAAAATTAAAAAAAAAAAAAAAAAAAACTTCAAAGATCTCTTAGCCAGAACTTAATATAGAAAACTACAATTTTACCACTTAATATAGAAAACTACAATATTACCACTCAGCTAAAGATAGGCCTTAGGTAATTTCATAGATGATGCATAAGCTAATTCACATTCTCTAAAATATATCACAAGAGTAGAAAATGATTATGGAAATTTCAAATGATTACATAAAATATCTGTGTAAACTACTCATTTTATTTGTTTTTACTTTCAATGTTACATTGCTAAGCTTATTAAATATATTTCAGTGATTAAAAGAAACTGCCGTATTTTCCTAGATGAAAATGTTGCAGCTGAAACAGATGTCACCATTTTACAGTTGAGGAATTTTTAACCCAGAGATTGAGTAACCACCAAGGAGACTGGCCAGTTACAGAGGTTCAGGAGAGAATAGGAGGTGAACAGATACAGCAAGTGCAGAGATGTTGGAAACTCTTACCATATCTTCTTAATCTTTCAGGCCTCGACATAAGTGTTACTCTCTCTGAGAGGCTTTATTTAGTGCCCATAAAAATGCTTAGCACTTAGTAGGTGTTCAGTAAATATTTGTTACATAAAGGAATAAAGTAAAACAGAATTCAAATTCCTTTTTATACCTGTGGTGGTTTTAACATACACCTGCAAATTCTTTGACACTCCTCACTTCAAAAAGTGGAGCCAAATTTCCCTCCTCTTGAATGGAGGACATCTGAGTAGTTTGCTTCTAAAGCACTGATGATGGCAGAATTGATGGTGCGTGATTTCTGAGGCTAAGGTTTAAAAGTCACTGCCCTTCTGCCTTCTTGTCTCTTTTGGATCATCTTCTCTGAAGGAAATGAGTTGCTGTGTTATGCTGACACTGAGGCAGCCTATGGAAGGACTCACAGGGGGAAGAAACTGACCCCTCTACCAACAATTAGCACCAACATGCCAAACATGTGAAAGAATCAGCTTTGGACGGAATCCTCTAGCCCTAGAAAGGCCTTCAGGTGAATTCAGCTCTGGTTAACATCTTCACTACAACCTTATGAGAAACTCTGCACAACTAAGCCACCACTCCACAGTGACTGTGATGATAATATTTATTGCTGTTTTAAGCTAATAATATCCCCACTAAGTTTGGGGATAATTTGTTATGCAGCAATAGCCAACTGACATAAAGTCTAATACAGTCTTACATAATCTGGCCCTCACCTACCCTGCCAACCACATCTCTTACAACTTGTATGCTTCCTTTCTGTTTGGAAAAGAAACTCATATCTTAGACATTTATTTTCAGATTTTGTAGTCATTTAGCTCTTCAAATGCTATCTTACCTGGAACCTCTAAAATCTACAGCTCTAAATCTTTACAATACCCTTAATTCCATGTGCTATTTCCAGTTTTCTGAGAGTATTATATACTCTATATTTACTGGAAAACACACTCAATAAGTTACATAACCAAGTCCAACAGTAGGAAATAAGAATCGTTACAGAAAGATCTGGGTTCAAATTTTGTAAGTAGACTTCCTCTTTTGAAGAAGCACCCCATCTTTTGCAGGCAGGTCAACGTCAAGATTTAAGTTTCTTCACAGAGCAGAACTCTTCAGCAGCCTTAACCACGACATGCTAGGAGGATGTTCACAGACTCCAGTTAGCACTGGTTGGGAAATACTACTCTAATTCCCATCCCAGAAACTATGCATCTTCTTCTTCCTTGGAATTAGCATTATGAAAGATAAGTTGGAAAACATCCCCAAATTGTCACCAAGCTTTAAGGTCAGGATGATTCAAATTATTTCCCTAAATATATTGTGAAGGCACAGCTGCAAAGGATGTAAAAAACCAATGGGTACTAATTGTAGTCACAAAAATAAAGACTACTTTGTGTACTCTGGGGGAGCATTTAAGGGAAAAGGACAAAATATATGATTATATACTTGTTTAGTATTAATAGTTAAGAAGGCATCCTATTAATTAAAGTATCATATACATTTTCTCAGATAATCTGAAGTTGACAATTCTTAGCCAGGGTTAGGATATTATAAATTATTTTAACTACTTTCCTCTCTCCAAAGATGATTAAAAGATTAGTTCATAGTTAAACTATCCAATGACATTAAAATGACTAATGTCCTAAATCTTTCTGGGGAGGTTAAGTTTTATCAAGTGTTTACTGTGTCATCCTGTTTTATATCCACAACTATGCTATTAGGCTCCTTTTACGAATGAGACTGTGGCTCACAGTTATCCACCCAAGGAGACACCAAGTGGTGAGACCAAGATCTGAACCCTAAAGGGATCCAAACTCAGTACTCTTTTTACTCCCTCAGCTGCCCTTTTCAATAAGGATCAAACTGCCTCAGACTCAAAAAGGCTGAGGCAGGATAATTGCTGAAACCAAGGAAGCAGAGGTTGCGGTGAGCCGAGGTTGCACCACTGCACTCCAGCCTGAATGAGAAAGCAAGACCCTGTTGCCAAAAAAAAAAAAAAAAAAAAAATTGTTTCAGAGAACACCTGTACTTTTATCTAGCAATTGGACAATTAACTTCCTTTTACTTTCACCTAAGCCATTTACTAGGGATGAGCTGGAAAGCTCTGCCTTGTGACATTATGGAATTTCTATGACCTGCTTGATGAAGAATGTTCAAATGTTTTCTTAGACATAGGAATTCTTCCAGTTTTTATTTCCAGTGGGTAAGAAATTTGGGTGGTGTTAGTAAGAAGAGAGAAGTCTAAGCACTTTACATTCGTTATTTAATGCCAGCAGTCCATTGAAACAAATACTGTATCTTTATATGACTCAAGGAAATTAGCATTCACAGGGATTAAGAAGCATGCCTGAAGTTTCACATTACTTAAAACATGGAGCTGGGATTCGAACCCATGTTTAACTAATTCCAAAATTCATGTTCTTTCAACTACACTATTCTGCCATGTGTTTTAACAGCAAATTCCACAGATGATATTATACCATGTCTGGTTATTGCCAGCAAACAGAAAGAAAATACTGTATTCTCTCTGGGTCTACCATGATCCCTGCTTTCAGCTTCTCATGGATAAATTACCAAGAAAGCATTTGAACTATTTTGCATGTTTCCAGTTACTCATTCCAGTGCATCCTATACAGCAACCTGAATTAATCTTCTTAAAATCTATTTTCAACAAACTACTTATCTACATTGTCATTTTACTGACTGTGACTGGAGATCAGTTTTCTCTTTTTTTTTTTTTGAAGTGGAGTCTCACTCTGTCCCCCAGGCTGGAGTGCAGTGGCACGATCTCGGCTCACTGGAACCTCCGCCTCCCGGGTTCAAGCGATTCTCCTGCCTCAGCCTCTTGAGTAGCTGGGATTACAGGCCTGTGCCACCATGCCTGCTAATTTTTGTATTTTCAGTAGAGACAGGGTTTCACCATGTTGGCCAGGATGGTCTCAAACTCCTGACCTCAAGTGACCTGCCCACCTCAGCCTCCCAAAGTGCTGGTATTGCAGATGTGAGCCACCGCGCCCAGCCCTGGAGATCAGTTTTCATAGACAATAACTGAACATCAAGACCTTTTATATCCTTGCCCCATTTTACTCAGTAAGTTATAATGAAAACAAACCTTTAATACATATTGTGATGTTGCTCCAGACCAACTTGTCTCACCACTATTTCTACACTCACATGCTCAATTCTACCTCCTCACGTTGTTGTTACTAATCTTCCCATCTGCAAAGTCTTCCTTTGCATTTTCCTGTCTGCAGACCTTATCTACGAGTCAATGCCTGGCTCCAGTCCTCTGTGAGTTTTTCGTTAACAAAATCTAGGCTATTCCAAATCTTCCTCTCTAGTACACAGTCTATTCCATATAATTTAGTACCAAGAGTGTCTTCTGTTGCTTGCCTTTGTTTCTTGTGTGTTCACCTTGACTTTGTGTGTAGCCTATACACTTCGTGAAAGCAGCTTCTTCTCTTACACTTGATTGGAATCCTCCATAGAAATCAGCATTGTGCTGAGAACATAGTAAGTGTCCAATAAATAGCTGTTGATTGACTAAAAGTTTACTTTTAGCCTTATTTTCCTTAGTTCCTGACAATTATAGATGACTTAGATTTGTGTTTTTCTCCTTTATTCAACATTTGAATTTAATAGCTGAATTACCATCACCCCATTCTACAGAAAAGTTGAGATGGCTAGTAATGCTTTATTTACTCTCACATAACTCCAAAACATTTTTCTCTCTCTGTTTCACTTTGCAAAAATGAACAAAGACCTTGCTAAACTGTTAAGCTATGATGGAATAATTCTGTTTTTTATGTCTTTGGATTTCCAAACAAAAAATAAGAAAGCAAATGAATATTTTAAAAATCATAGAGAAAGTAAACAAATTTAAAAAGAAAACAAATAAATTTTTTAAAAAAACAAAACATACAACTTTTTAAAAATGGAATATCCAAGCTATAGAAGTGGGTATTTGTAGGTGCCTACCCAGGATCCTCCTTCTTTCTTGGAAGTATCCTGGTTTTTCATTAGAGTACCTATGTTTCCCCATATAATTCCAGTAAGATTCACATAATTACAATAAAGCTGAACTTCTCTCCTTATCTCCTAGGCCCAGACAGGTTATCAAATGACTTAAGCCAATCAGCAGATTACATTCTCTTGGTAATGCTGGTTTAAGTTTGAGCAAGAGAATTAAGCTGGTTCAATCCACCAAACTCGAATTCTCTTTTGGAAAGCTAGGACAGACATGTTCCCTTCTTTTGAGTCTGAACAAGAAAATGTGTGGTTCCGATCCTAGGACCACAAGGAAAGCCAGGTGAGGATAAACTGGCACTGTAGAAATTATAGCAAAGAGGAAAAAAACAATTCTGAGTCCTTGGTTATGAATGAGCCACCAGATGGGCAGGAGGCAATCTTAGAGCTCATTATACCCATTTACATTTTTTATTTATGAAAGCCAAGAAAACCCCCTTTTTGTTGTTTATCTAATGAGGAGCTGTTTTTCTTATTTGTGATTGAAGGTATCCTAGTTGGTATATCCTAGTCTGGTATATACCAAAATATAGTTTGTACCACTGCCATTAGTTTATAAGGGAGCATTTTCCAGGAAATCTGAAGAGTATCATAAAACACGTCACAGAAATAATAGTAAGAAAAACATAATTTAACATTATTATGGTTAAAATATATTATTTAGTGACCCTGAGACACATCATCTGCAGAGAAAATCTAAAATAGATTTTCAAGTATGAGGTTAAACTACAAAAAAGCAGGTGGATCATTTTCAGTAAGAAAGTAAATCTGCTCTTGCAAGTGATGAGATTTTAAAAATACTTTTTCTGTGTGAGGGGAAAACACAAAATAAGATACACAGCAGTAGGCTTTTCTTCATTGTTTTTTGTAATGTATAATGCTTTTATTTAAGTTGTCAATAGAAATATTAAGTTTATTTTAGATTAAGTGCTGCTCACCATATCACATAAAATTTTATAATAATATATAAATGCCTTTATTTTTATATGCATAATTAATTTAAATAATAAAAATTAAATTTTACAGTTGTTGTACCCAATTTGTTATAAAAGTAATGAAAATGTCTAAATGTCAGAGAAGAAATTTTAGTGTAAAGTTAATAAATATTTGAATATTGAAATTGGGTAGAAATTAATTCCCTGGTAGATTTCCTTAAAGAAACTTTTCTAGACTTTCAAATTGTCTAACAACATAGATTACTAGATTCAGATCTTCAGTATGTAGTATAATTTGCTCAGCATGTAGCCAGTGCATTAAAATAGGTATATTGAGCAATTTAATACATGACCTAGTAACTTAGAAGCAAGAGAAAATGTGTTACCTCCAAAAGCAAAAATGCTGACTACTTTGTATAGGCCTATGGCATTGAGAAAATTAAGTCAATAACAATCGCTATAGGGTGCTTTTATTTTCCCCCAACAGAGCAAAATCCATTAACCTGAAGTAATTATTTTGCATTAAGCTACAGTATTAACTTAACTGGTTATTGTTCTACCATTTTAAGGTTGATTCAATATAATAAAAATAAAAAATGACTTTCTAGATTAAACCACTTAGAATAAGCCATAACTCTTTTACTTCTCTCATGCATTACACCCCCCAAAATTATTTAAATGAATGACTACCAAATAGTTTTCTTATTTCTACTTAACTGTCTTTGAGAAAATAAAATGCTGCTCCAAGTTTTTAAAAACACACCTAACATCAAAACACTATATGATATGGTTAGACCAACTCATCTAAAGTCACATTTCCTATACTCCTGTCAACTGCAGCTAGTAGACTTGGCTTTGTTAATAAATATAGATGGTAGCAGTATAGCACTTTTTATCGCCTGAGATATACACCCAGGAAATCTAAATCTCCAATCAAATGAAGTTATTGCTTTCTTCATCAATGTCAGTCATTTTTTTTTTTTTTTGGTCATTTAATGATTACTGTTAAACTGACAATTAACTTTGCAGGGCAATTCAAAAATTAAAACATGCATTCTGACACAAATATACTGACACATTCCAAGGGGATTCCAAATTTTAAAAAATTTTCCAAAGAAAAAGGTTCATTTTTTTGATTCTAAAATAGTTGCTGTGTTTTCTCAACAGTCGTCAGAATTATAATGCTATTCTCACTCCATGTCTGGTATTAACAGTTTTGAAAATAATCAAAGTCTTGTTTCATATCATATTACATGTATTTTACCAGTAAAGGTTAGAGCATTAGAACAAGGGGTTATAAATAGGTTTTATAATGTTTGAACAACAGAGCAATTTAAGCACAATGAAAGTCTTACTATAGATCTTGTCCATTACTAAGTGTGGGTTTTTATCTGTGCTGACTTACCCTTATCCAAGGTCTTTAAAAGCTGCTAGGCAGTTAGAGCAGGCAGTGTGCCCAGACAGTGCTGAGATGGAGAAGACAATTACACTACACAAAAAGTGATATACTCAATATTTAGCAGCTGCTTAACAAATTCTAATTCACAACTTGCCAAAGATAAAACCTCAAAGAATAAACATCTTCAACGCATTGACTCAAAACCTCACGTAGACAACACATGGAACCATTCAGTTCGGTACCGAGACTTAGTGTCCCCATCCCCCAGGCCATGAACCGGTACTGAAACTGGGCCGCACAGCAGAAGGTGAGTCGGGGCGGGGGAGAGGCGGCGAGTGAGCATTACCGCCTGAGCTCCACCTCCTGTCAGATCAGAGATGGCATTAGATTCTCACAGGTGCACGAACCCTCTCATGAACTGCCTGTGAAAGGGATCTAGGTTGCGCACCCCTTATGAGAATCTTATGCCTGATGATTTGAGGCAGAACGGCTTCATCCTGAAACCATCCGCTGCTCATGGATAAAATGTCTTCAACAAAATCGGTCCTTGGCAACCGCTGCTTTGGAGTATTTAGTTATAATTTATACCTTGAAATACATTCACATTCAAAAATTTAAGGCTACTTGAAACACTTTATATATATATGGTTAAAATATATATCTACAGTCAAGATAGGGCTATAAGTGCAACCCCGAACAAACTTTAGTTGTAGTCCTCTAGTGGTGGTAACCAGAACTCAGAATGAACGAGGTACAATAATTGAACACTTGGGCTTTTGGCAGCCACAGAAAAAAGGGAAATGTGATAGAGATGGGAGTTCTCATATTTTGATAAAGGAGAACTTGCTTTTTGTTTTTGGCCATCTAGAATGATGATTTCATACAAAGGACAGAGAACACACAGTTGGCTGTCTAGTGTACCGGTGGCTGTTCTTTGGAAGAATTCTCATATGTGTCGAGGGAAGAATCACTATTAAATGAAGGTAAGTTTTCATCAGAGGAATAAGCTCTGATTAGCATATGATGTGGCAAGGTTGATTCATGCAAATCGTGAAAATTGTAGAGTGTGATGTACCCTTACTGACACAGAAGCTGCCTCATTCCAACAAAGACGTTCTATAGCAAGCCTTTCCTTTAAAAAAAAAAATAGTGTTTGAACTGCCTTAAAAATCTGGATGGATAAAATTCTTGATCCCAAAGTACAAAAGCTACAAATTGGGCCCCAATAACTTTAAGGGAAGGTGTTGCTCCTCAAAGCTCTTACTTAAAAGGACCTAAGTATGCTCTGCCCACTCGTTATACTTGTGTTCAGAGCCAGATTTTAAACAAAAATATGTTCTGAGTGTTGTTCTTCCTGGGTATATTGGCTTCAAAATGTACCCCCAAAAACTGATAAGGATGATCTGTTAGATGTGTTTACTGGAGCAAGACTGCACAAAACAATAATTATTTTGGCCTCTGAAATGATATTTATTATTGTGCTTTCAAAAGATGATGCCCTAACAGGCCTAATTGCCTTCATAAGGCATTTCATTGGCAATCAACAGGATTCTTACCTCCTTATCTTTCTTTTAGCTATGGCAAGTGAGTATTCACCAATTCTTCTAAGTAAAGAATCAGGGTGTTTAGATGTAAGCACCTTTAAAAGTCTAAAATTAGAATGAGATATGTCAATATATAGTGCTTCCCCTTCCTGGCATTATAAACTGTGCTACGCATAGGCTTCGAGAAAGTGTTTATTGTCTGAGGTTGCTGAGAGTATTCTGTAGCTTGGCCTCAAACAGTTCTTGACTATAAAATCAGGAGGTAACAATAAACTGCCAAATAATTTATGAAGATTTATACTGTTTTAGTCATTTTCTCAGTCAATTGAAAGATGATGATAAATATTAGTGATGAAATAGTTATGCCAGAAATGCTTGCTCCTAGTGTAAGGTGGAAGATTTAGAATCTGAAACTTGAAATACCACAAGAAAATGATGACAGAGTAGCCCGATTTAACAGTTGGGAAAAAAGGCTCTTTCTAAGCAGATAATCCTTTATTTTCAGCCTTCAAAATGTGCTTTTCATGTATAAGAAGAGACAAATAATACCTTTCCTTATTAAGTTGTGTATAAATAAATTTGTTAAGTAAATACTGGAATTAAAAATATTAGTTATGATAAAATAATAGAAGATAGAAAAATTGTAGATGAAGATAACACAAGAAAAAAAGTGGGTTTTTTTGTTTTTGTTTTTGTGTTTTTAGTTTAACTGTTTAACTACCAAAAGTTAAGAAAGCAAAGCAAAGACTGTATTGTTGCATTCTCAGAGCTAGAACAGTGCTTGGCATATGGTATATAGTTAATGAATATATTCATTTTTTTCTGGCTGTTTGTAGCAAATGCTTTTTCTAATTATTCACATTCAGGCCCTGTGTTCCAAAACTATGTTATACCAAGGTAAAGTTAATATGCTGCTAATCACAAAAGATGAAACTTCTGTACAATCTTTTCTCCACTCCCCACTCCAGAAAATAGTAATCTCTCAGTCTCAATGGAGAATTAGCCATTTTGGGCAATATTGTTCTCAACTCCAGTCAATTTATTTCTTCAATAACTTAAGTAGATAATACAAATATATCTAATGATTAGAAAAGTGGCTAACATTTATATTGCACTTATTACATGCATTATAAGTGTACTAACCCATTTAATCTCTATATCAACCCTCTGTAGTAAATACTATTATCCCTTCTTTACAGATGGGGAATGGAGTCGCTAAGAGGTTAAGTAATAAGCCCAAGGTCACACAAATAGTGGATTAATGAAACATATTTCATTGCCTTTCCTCTCCTGTTCAGAAGTAGAGTGGGATTTGCCCTGCTCCTGCATTTACCTCACTTAGTAATGTCTTTATTTTGCTCTCCCATGTTGTTTTTTATTTTAATGTGAAGGTTTTATTATATTATGTATGTTTCCTGCTATTCATGTCTTCCAGTTAATATGTTATTTAAACATAACATTTTTAAGGGGTATGATTTAAAAGATTGTACCCAGTTATGTTCAGACAACATACAGGAGAGTCTCCTGTACAATAAAATAGTTAATAAATGTCTTTTGATGACATTGTTGGTTCACATGTGTTTTGATTCCTGCAAATCCACCATTCTAAAGGGCCACTTTTTGTAAGTGAAATGATGTGTACTTTCACAGTGATATGATTTCATGGCATTTCAAAATTATTACACAAAAATTTCCCAGTGATTTGAAAAGAATAAAAAATATAGTTGAAGTTAGTCATGCAAGCACCCTCTGATGCCTTGACCTTTGCCTCACGAGTCTAATTTCAGATAGGATATTTAAAGTCCTAACCTACCATGCTCATACATAAAAACTTGCTGCTTAATACTCTTAGTAATAAATTTTTTACAGAATGATTCATGTCAACCTTTAGGCTGAAGAAAATATTAGTCAAATACCATGACAAAACAATTCTGTGATTCATGGTATTGAATATTATAAGCAACAGGCTCTTAATAAATTAATGAATGTAATAAATATTTTATTAATTGATTTGTAGATTTTTCCAGATTGTTTATTTAAATAATCATAACTTCTGTATAAAACAGCATTTTGGCTCCTCTCTCCGGTCCGTGCCTCCAAGATGACAAAGAAAAGAAGGAACAATGGTCGTGCCAAAAAGGGCCGCGGCCACGTGCAGCCTATTCGCTGCACTAACTGTGCCCGATGCGTGCCCAAGGACAAGGCCATTAAGAAATTCGTCATTCGAAACATAGTGGAGGCCGCAGCAGTCAGGGACATTTCTGAAGCGAGCGTCTTCGATGCCTATGTGCTTCCCAAGCTGTATGTGAAGCTACATTACTGTGTGAGTTGTGCAATTCACAGCAAAGTAGTCAGGAATCGATCTCGTGAAGCCCGCAAGGACCGAACACCCCCACCCCGATTTAGACCTGCGGGTGCTGCCCCACGTCCCCCACCAAAGCCCATGTAAGGAGCTGAGTTCTTAAAGACTGAAGACAGGCTATTCTCTGGAGAAAAATAAAATGGAAATTGTACTTAAAAAAAAAATAAAAAAAAAAAATAAATAAAACAGCATTTTGTCGTTTCTTTTTCCATTTATATTCATAGTTCTCTTTCTCTTTTCATTGCACTGGCTAGGGATTGATTGCAATGTCAAATAGTATCGCAAACAGGAATCCTTTTCTTGTTACTGCCTTTAATGAGAATACTGATGTTTGCAGTGGTTTTTGGAACGTTTCCTCTGCAAAGAACCTGATATTCCTAGTTGGATGCTTTTCAACAATTATTAACATTTAATCTATTGATCTATTTAATCTGGAATTAATTTTAAAATTTTAAAACTAGCCAACTAGGAATATCGGGCTGATTCCAGAGGGCATATTTGCAGATTAAAATTTAAATTAAATCAATGTAAATTATTTGCATATATTAATGAATCACTTGAATATTAAAATATTGAATCAAAGATTTATATTATAGGGGAACACTACACTGACCCATAAAAGTATGACCTATTAGCCCTTCTCAAGACTTATATTTGAGACAGCTGCCCACATAGTATTTGCCCAAATAGCAGGTGTTGCATGGAACTTTACATTTATAGAAACCTAGCCCATATAATCAAGAACATTAGATATCTTTTAAATAGCAGCTTAAAATTGGTTCTTCACATTTTTAAACTTGTGACTTTAGCTTCACTGATACTTTGTTCTAAGGTATATTATATTATAGACACTTCAAAAATCATTTTACTATTATGACACAAGCAAATGTAAACACAATACATTTTAGGTTTGTGATATTCCATTTAGAATTTTCCAGACTTAGAATTACCTTCTGAAAGTGATTTTCAAAAATAATATTTGGTTAAAACACATTTTGTTAGTTGGACTTCTATTTTCACCATCCAGACTATCTAAGATGAGAATCTTCATTCTTTTTCCCATTAGCTTGAAGCTTCAAGTCTCAGTAGGAGATCAATGTCTATACTATAAGTGTTTTAACAATTAAATTACTTAAGGGTCTTTAGGCATTGTGTTTAGGTGAATGCAATTTCATATACTCAAATTGACAGTGTTCTAAGGAGGTTGTGAAACAAGCCAGTCACACAAACTGACTTTGTTATGTTCTTCATTGTGCCAAGAAAAGGCAGCAGTGGGCATACAGAATGGCTGGTCTTGCATGGCTGCACTAGTGCTGAATTTGGTAACAATGACAGCTAACAGTCATTGAGCTCTTAGAATTGCCAGGCATTGTTCTAAATGCCGAACATGGATTAATCTCACAACAACTGTTTGCTGAAGGTACTGTTATTATGATCCCCCTATCACAGATGAGAACTCTGAGACACATTTACATGAGTAGAAAGCAGAATAGCTCATGAGTTACATGAGTAGAAAGCAGAAGAGCTGAAATTTGACCTCTGGGATTTGACCACCTAGCTTCAGAATTTGCGTTCTTATCCATTTCACTATGCTGCCTACCTCAGTCAATGTCAAAAGAGATCGCTGGCCATTTTAAAGTCTTAAAAACTTCTTCTTCATAGCTTTAAGAGTAGAAATAAAGAGTAGAAATAACCAGAGGATTCCAATTATTACACATAGATAGGTATTAATAGCTATAGCTAACTGTATTGTACATGCATTCAAATTTATATTTACCATGTTTAGTCAATTACTGGGCTTTGCATATCTTCCCAATTAAGAAAGGAAATAAACACTAAAGAATAATATCTGAAAAAAAGTTATTAGTAATTGCACCAAATATGAAAACTTTGAAAAAAATAAGATATAATACAGATTACAATTTTCATCTTTCAAGAATGATTATGTAATTAATCAAAGTTTGGGGTTTAAATCAAATCACTTTTGGTACATAGGCAGTTACCTAAACTCTCAGTTTCCTCTGTATAAAATGAAGAAAGCAATGCCTGACATCTATGCAAATTATGTATTAAGCTGTAATAAAATATTGTCAATAAATATTGTCACGCTTTTCAGGATTTTAGACATATATAACTGGAGAACTCCATTAAGGAGCAGTAAAGATGTAATTGTTTATAAAGCAAGATAATATAGCATAAAGAGAATTTAACTGTATAGAAAGGAACAAAAAAAATACTTCTGAGAAAGGCCATTGTACTTGAAAGTTGGGAATGGAGAATTAGGTTTGTTCTCCATATACTTTTGCATTGTTTTGATTGCTTAAAATAGAATATATTCATGTTACAAACATATGGAGTATTTAGCCAGATATCAGAAGACACAAATTTGGATGAGACACTTGACCCTGTGAATTTCAAATTCCTGTAATAAGTGTTATGGACACAATGTCTCTAATAGCCCCTTCCAGTTATACACTGAAGTGATTTAGTTAAGAGTATAATATGTGAAGAATGTAAGAGGCTCTCACACCCCCCAAGTAAAGCAAAATATTTGCATTTGTTTACGGAAAAGTTGTCTTCAAAATAGTTAAAACACTATCTACATTTTATTGCTTCCACAATTTTTGGTCAAAACACAATGCACAATGCTAACCTAGAAGGTTGAGATCTTTCTAAAAAAAACTTCAAGAAATAGGAAGAACACCAAAACATCCATCTTAGATGATGTTGTCTGTGGAGACTTACTCCAAAATGCAAGCTGTTTGATTATTAATCAATGGCACATTACGTGAAAGAAGGAAAAGAGCTGCCACCTCTCAAGCCTTTGCACCTGGTCCAATTGTCAAATGTTAGTGAGTTATGAACAAGAATGATGCACAAATTATCATTAGCTCGATACATTGTGCTCACATTGATGCAAGAATCCTTTCCTAGTCTGGCAGATTATAATTGTCTGTGAATAGAAGTTCCAAATCTCTGATCTGACTATCTTGATACAGTTGAATGTATAGAATTTGGTTTATTCTTCATCTCTCTTCTCCATCAGTTAAGTTACCAGGTTTCTATCAACAGTCCTTATAGATTTTGTTGAGCAATACTTATTTCCACTGCTCTCCTCTGCTTCTTTCTGATATTCTTTATTTGAGTGCAATATTCTTTATTTGAATGCAAATTTAGATTTGAATTATTTGAATGAATTTAGATTTCCTTGTCCTCTTATTCCTAAGAATCAATAAATCTAATAAATAGGGAGGGAAAGTAATTCAGGACCTAAAGAACCAACAAAAACTGATCTCGTGCTTCCCACAAAGGTAGTATAATAGCCTTCCCATGCTCATGAAGCTAACAATGAAAATAATAAATATAACAACAGCAACTAACGTAGAGTGCCCCTATATGCTAAGGATTGTGTTAAGCGTTTTACATAATTATTTCTTTCAACCCTCACAAAAACTCAATTTTATGTACTGTAATTATTCCTTACCTGTTTTACAGATAAGCAAATTGAAGCACAGAAATGGGAGATAACTTGTCCAAGGTCACAAGGCTAGTGAGTGATGGAAGCAGTACTTAAATCTAGTTTATCTGACTCTGGATTCTTGCTTCTAACCAGTGCTAAACTGAAGACAGTCCAGGTTTAAATCAAATGCTGATATCACTGGACTTGATTAGCTCTCATTTTAATTCTTCCAAGCCTGCTACTTTTTACTCATTTTATACTAAGGACCCAAAGTCCTCTGGTCAATTATTATAACTTTTTCAGTTTTTTTGACATATGCCTCAAATTTTCTTCATCTTATTTTCTTCAATGTGAAAATTGTCCCTAAAACATAAACCCTCTTCTATCTCTTGCTGGTAAAGGAAACCAAAATATTTTATCCCCAAAATAGAAGACAGAGCAGGGATCCCCTCTTAGGGACCTGCAGGCTCCCCAAGCATAGAAATAAAGGAAAATCTTGAGTTCCTTCAAGGGGAATTCCAGGCATGTAGCTAACCCTGAGAAGTAAATAAGAAACTTGATGAGCAAGAAGGTAATAGCAGCCAAGGAAGCTAGAATCACAAGATGTTTGGTTCCCCTATAGGCACAAAAGCTAACATCTTAACATATGTCTCTGAGTTCTGTCTCAGAAACCCAGACCCCCACCAAATAGATCTGCTGGCACAGAAGCCCCTGGTAAGGGGGAACGGAGGACTGAACTCTGGCCAACATTCTTTGTTTTACACTTCCTCCTGAGGGGCCTGAAAAAAGTCATGCCCATGAACCCAGGCTAACATTCTTTTCTGCTGACCCTACATTTTTAAACAAAGCTTCTCTTCCTTACCCAACTGCAAATCAGAAAATCTGTGACCTGTAAGTCCTCCGCTTCAAGATACTCTGACCTTTTAGGCCAAAACCAATGTGGAACCTCCATGTTTTGATTTACAATTTTGCCTGTAACTTCTGCTTTCTGAAATTTACCCCCGCCTTTAAAAATCTTTACCTGCAAGCCATCAGGGAGGTCAGGATTTAAGCATGAGCTGCCTGATCCTCCTTGTTAGGCACCCTGCCAATAAACACCTTCCTTTCTCCCGCTGAAAACCTTGGTGTGGATATCTGGTATTGCTATACAGGGCGAGTGGGCCCCAGTTTGGTTCGATAACAAATATTCTTCTTTGACATATTTTGAGATGGCCGTTCAGAGGGCCTACAAAAAGAAGTAGCCCTGCAAAGCTGTCCTGTGGGGGAGATTTGCATCTGTAGAGAATCTGCATTGATGCAGCCAGGCTTTCTCTGTGGGCCCTCCCTTGTCTGGATCTAGAAAAAGTGAACTGAGAGTCTGACATCTTCAAAGGTCTGAAAGAAACATTCACCATCTATTTTCTCCAAGGGCTACTACTACTGGTGAGGTTTCATCTATATAGCAAGACCTCCTTTGTTAGCTAGACCTCGCCTTCTCCCCCTCCCATAACTTGTTTTGCCATGCTCCAGGCCCCTATTCTTTCTGTATCCTCAAAATGGTATAAAAGTGTCAATCATCTGGCCATTTATTTGAGTTGTTATAGTTTTGTATGGCTCCCATGTATGTTAATCCATTTGTATTCCTTTTCTCCTATTAATCTGCCTTTCTGTTAGTTGATTTTTAGCCAGCCTTCAGAGGATGAAGGGGAAGTATGCCCTTTGCCTCTTCACTGTCTTTACTGCTCCGGCAGTCTCATTCGAGTCCACTGCTTTAATAACCATTTACATCAAATGATGTAATAACCACTTATATTTCTTTTAGGGATGTATAACAAGCAGTTCAAATGCTATTCATGATCTCTTACTCTCCTCACCAAAACCAAAAACAAAACCAGAAACAAAGTGGCTCATGCCTATAATCCCAGCACTTTGGGAGGTGGAGGTGGAAGGACTGCTTGAACCCAGGAGTTCAAGGCCAGTCTGGGCGAGATAGCAAGACCCTGTCTCTACAAAACATTTAAAAAATTAGTTCAGCATGTTGGTGCATGTTTGTAGTCCTAGCTACTCAGAAAGCTGAGGTAGGAGGGTTGCTTGAGCCTGGGAGTTTGAGACTGCAGTGAGCTATATCATGCCACTGCACTCCAGCTTGGGTGACAGAGTGAGATTCCATCTCAAAAAAAATAAAATAAAATAAACAAACAAATCTTTGTCTTTATGCACTGTTTTATATTATAGTGTTGCATTACCATCTATACTGTTAGGCAAGGGAGAGATCTATTGACACTATCGTCTTCCTCTCCTCCCATAGGCCATCATCATCAAGTGCTCTGAAACTGGTCCTTAATCAGTCTTATAACAGTCCCCTTTTCTCCATCATCCAGACCACTACTACTCCATTCCAAGCTAACATCACCTCTTATATGGAGTAGATCATGACAACGGTCTCCAAATGATTTGCTTTGCATTGCACCTGACTCCCTTCGACTTGTTCTCCAAGCTGCACCAGGGTCATGTTTTCAGAATCCAAAACAGAATCCTGAGCTTGTTCCACCCCCAAGCCAGCTTCATATTGGGCTTAGGATACAAGTCTTAGAACGAAAACCTTAATATGGCTCATAAAATCTTTCAGGATCTGACTTTCTTCCTCAGGCTTCATTTCATACACTGCATTTCCCCTGGATGTTTCAGCTTCCAGATAGCCCATTTCTTTTAGGTTCTTGCATGTATGATTGTATTTGCCCATAGCACACTTCATCCCCTGACCGCTGATGTGCGCATTAACACTTTCTTTTATAAAAGAAGTTCAGTTACCACTTCCTAGGTCTTCTTCCGCATGCCCCCTGCCCACCTCATCATTGTAGGCTTAGCAAGTGTTCGAGGGCACACACTGGATGCCCAAATACCTGCTGAGTGAGTGAGTGCGTGAATTATTACTTCCAATCAGTTTCTATTGGAAAGTTTAATTCGTGTCATGTTTTTACTTCTTCTTTTTTTTTTTTTTTTTTTTGCTTTGTGATCCTTGCCTCAAAGGATCACCATTTTGGTTCTTGATGGTTTCACCTAGCTTCTTAGTTGTTGTGGAATATACACATTAATGCTGTTAGATTTGAGGTAAGAAGCAGAATGCTACAGTACTATTTTAACCATTTACTACCAGAGTAGCTTATCTTTCATTTTAACTCAGAAGGGGAGAAAAAGAAGTAACTCTTATGTAAAATTTGAAGTCTATTTCTATTAACAGAACTTGGAGACCATTTACTTTTCTCCCTACAAGTCTTAACTGACTACAAATTTAGTTCCTTTAAAATGCAATAACATTGGACTTGGATAGGCCTGTGTAGTGATAAATAAATGAGACATCTACCGAAGATTTTAGATGTGATGATGTCTTCGATTATTCATTCAAATTTCAGAATAAAATGACAAGCAGGATTCAGCCTTTCCATACCATCTGTCCCCAGATAAATGAGCATAAAGGCAAAATATAATTGTATTAATTTTATTTCAAAAGTTGAAAAATTACTTTATTATAAATGAAAATATTATTGTCTTTTAGGATGTGGGAGTGTGTGTGTGTGTGTGCGTGTGCACGCTTTGTAGAGTAGTAATTTTAGTGTTGGCTTTTTACTGGAATAGAGAATAGTAATGTCTTTCTTGGCAATTTTTTTTTGAGATGGAGTCTCACTCTGTTGCCCAGGCTGGGGTGCAGTGCAGCGATCTCAGCTCACTGCAACCTCTGCCTCCCAGGTTCAAATGATTCCCCTGCCTCAGCCTCCTGAGTAGCTGGGGTTACAAGCACCCACCACCAAGCCCAGCTAATTTTTGTATTTTTAGTACAGATGCAGTTTCACCATGTTGGTCAGGCTGGTCTCGAACTCCTGACCTTAAGTGATCCACCCACCTCAGTCTCCCAAAGTGCTGGGATTACAGGCATGAGTCACCGCACCCAGCCTGGGCAAAACTTTAAAGACATCGATTCTCATCTTTTTCCCAAGCATATAGAGAACTGGAAAAAGCATATTTTCTTTAACTTGGAGTGCTGAGGAGCACAGATGCCCCTGCAAATTTGTAATCACCCAGTGGCCTGATTTTCAGAGTCAAAAACACAAGTGTCCTGACTTCTTTTTTATTCCTTGTCAAATGCAAGTACCTGCCTTCATTTGAATTTCAAAGGATTTGTATTACAGATAGTAATACTCCCAATGGAAAAAAAAACAAGACCCTTATTAAGAAAGATACACCATGGGATACTATGCAGCCATAAAAAGGAATAAGATCATGTCCTTTGCGGGAACATGGACGGAGCTGGAAGCTATTATTCTCAGCAAACTAACACATGAATAGAAAACTAAACATATGTTCCCACTTATAAGTGAGAGCTGAATAATGAGAATGCATGGACACAGGGAGGGGAACAACACACACTGGGGCCTGTCAGGGGGCAGGGGGAGAGAGAGCATCAGGAAAACTAACTAATGCATTTTGGGCTTAATACCTAGGTGATGGGTTAATAGGTGCAGCAAACCACCATGGCACATGTTTACCTGTGTAACAAACCTGCATGTTCTGCACATGTATCCTGGAACTTAAAATAAATTTAAATTAAATTTTAAAAAAGAGGAAAAAAGAACCATATGCATATATTTTGGGGGAAAACCCTGAAAATAAAACCTGTTTAAAAAAATCTGTGACTATAGATCCCACTTTATACACTGTGTGTGTATGTGTGTGTGTGCATATGTGTGCATCCATGTATGTGTGTGTCTCTGTGCATATGTCACAGAACAGAATGTTCCATTACAAGTTTTTGCTTTCAGAGCCAAGGATGGCTCTAAGACCATATGGAAGCAATTCAAGGTAATGGGCATGCTGACCAACTGTGTGTGTTTCCTTCCTCTTCACAGTTCAATTCCATTGTCTGTGACAATGGGTTAGGGCCAATGAAGAAAAAACTATTGGAAGCCACAACTGAAAAGACATTTATCATTGCATATAGTGGGTGCATGCACCCCCATAAATCTGGGGGTGTAACCAATGGTGATATAATCTTACAACTGGAATTAATAGTCGTGGTCTGTAGAAATCCAAAAGCTAATAAAATAATCACCTAATCATCCTTGAGTTATAAATAGGAAAGCCTTCTTTTGAAACAATATTTTCAGGATTGAAAGAAAAGAGTATTAATCACAAAACAGGCAAAAATAACCAATAAAAATGGAAATAAATTTTCAGTGAGATATCAAAAATGCCAAGTAAGAACATCTTATTTGAACTCACTTGATATTAAAATAAGATGAAAAGAAAACAAATCTGTTTCTAGAATCCTTATGAGAGGACAGAAACAAGAAATTCCAAGAACAAGTAGAAGAATGTAGAGACAGATAAGAAAAATGAATTGAAAAGGACATCACCAATTTCAGAAATTATATTTAAGTCTTTTTTTTTTTTTTTTTTTTTTGAGACGGAGTCTTGCTCTGTCGCCCAGACTGGAGTGCAGTGGCGTGATGTCGGCTCACTGCAAGCTCCGCCTCCCGGGTTCACGCCATTCTCCTGCCTCAGCCTCCCAAGTAGCTGGGACTACAGGAGCCCGCCACTACGCCCAGCTAATTTTTTTGTATTTTTAGTAGAGACGGGGTTTCACCGTGTTAGCCAGAATGGTCTCGATCTCCTGACCTCGTGATCCGCCCGTCTCGGCCTCCCAAAGTGCTGGGATTACAGGCGTGAGCCACTGCACCCGGCCAAGTCTTACACATGTTAAAAATTTTGTTTGATTGAAGAACAGTCTAAGAGGTGGATGGTTGTATGAAGCCCAGATTATGGATACGCCCTCCCAGTACACCTGAATCGCTTTACTCACTAGTTGCCTAGCTTTGCGGAAGGCTCTTAGTTATAGCAGCATCTAAGCGCCTAGGCAAGCAGGGTTTTGGACTTCCCTAATTCAAGTAGAAGGTGTACAACAGTTTAGTGGGAAAGACTGAGGTATGCCTAGGATTATTTGGAAGGAAGGTGTCCGTACCAATGACCACAGGTTTGTGGCTTCATCACTAATTGTTATGAGACTTTGGTTTTCCTACCTATGCCTCAAATTTTTCCATGTCCAAAATGAGACTATTCATTGTTGATTCACATAATTATAAATGAGATTAAATAAATAAAAATACAATTTAAAATTAAGGGTCTGAATGCAAGATATTATTACTGGGCTGTAGTTTAGTGACACTGGAATTTGCTCCAAGGCAGACTGACCGCCCCAGACACAAACTTCTTGAGGAGCCTCATGAGAACTTCTAGCCCTTCCCTTCTTCTATAAAAAAGTCATATTTTCCTAAAAGGAAGGGAAATTTACCATACCCATTCTCCAAAATTTTGCTTAGCTTCTCATGTTTGATGATGGTGTCTAGTCTAGGATCCAGTTTACCTTTTTTATCATGTAAAAATATACATTATATAAACCAATTTGCTTTGTAATAATAAAAAACATTTTTAAGACAATTTTGCTTTATTTAGAGTGCTCCTTCCGATTTTAATGATTTTATAATTAGAGAATATATTAATAATAAGTATCTAAAGAAAAAATTCTCTTATATGAGAACTAAAAATTATATTTTTTTTGTGGAGAAAATAATAAGGGGGAAAT
Source organism: Homo sapiens (assembly GCF_000001405.40). Lineage (NCBI taxonomy): Eukaryota > Metazoa > Chordata > Mammalia > Primates > Hominidae > Homo > Homo sapiens. Next base: position 113,204,056 of record NC_000004.12, on the reverse strand, counting down.
TCTAAAGCCAGATTTCCTTGGTGGTAACAGCAGAATATCCTTCATTTTTTGAACATTTTGCAGGACATTTATAGTTCATAAAAAATATTAAGTGAGAAATTCCATCTTAAACCTTTTACATGGATTCTACTTTAAGAAAATCAGCTTATTTGGACCTGAATAGGATTTGGGCTAGAAGAAAAAGGAATTTTAAAAATTATTCTTTGAGGTCTGTAGAGAAGGTAGAACTGTTACGGGAACTATGAGAAGCAATATTGCCTGGGGATGAAGATTATGGGCAAGTAAATGAGCCACCTGAGTCTCAATTTGTCATCAATAATGATAAAGTAAAGGAATATCAAAAGAGATAATGTACACAACACACTAGAGACAATGCCTGGCAGTCAATGTTATTACCTGTATTATTATTAATATTAATGTCTACTGTTAGGAGTTATTGGAATACACAACAAAGCTAAGACTTATACATAAAGAGTATACATGCATATATTCATCCTCCAATCATATATGTGCAAGGTATTATGCATAATCCTGAAACTATAAAGAAGTGTGAGAAAAAATTATCTGCTCCCAAGAAGTTTACCATCTTGGAGAAATTAAAGATGTATTTTTTTTTTTTTGCAATCAGAGATAGGCAAATATCAATAGGCAAAATGTCAACAAAGAGTGCTACAAGTATTTAAAGAAACTCATGATTTTGAGAATATTTTTTAAAAACTTTCTAAGTAGAGTTTCTTTGATAGCAATATAGAATTTGAAATTTGAACATTTTTTTAAAAGTAATGTCTCTGAGTCTAACAGACTTACAGGTTATAAAAGTGACCAAACAAATGTCCCATACAGCTTAAATGGAAATCATCCCAACATCACGTATGTAGGATTATTTAGAGGATAAGATGCCTACTAAAGATCTTCTGCAAGTGACTTTGTTTTCAGAAAGCAAAAAATCATCTTCAAAGCAAATAACATTCCTCAACTCTATGATTTTGACTTCTAACTCCATAATTCCGGCACCATGGATGAGACCTCCATGTCACTGAATCTAGGATACCAAAGAACCAAGCCAGAGAGCTACATGGTCAGGGGCAATACTTAAAATCACACCAAGAACTGGCTCAGCAGAGACCACACTGATACCACTGTTGAACAAAGAAACAAAAATAAACATTTGTTCATTGTTACTAAATCAATTACACTATACCATTTAAAGTACTGAAGTTGATCCAGCTGGTGTTCTGGAACTCTTAATGAACCAAGGACACTCTCTACCAAAATTGGTACTGTATCATGTGGCGGTAAGCCTCACATGAATCTCATACTTTATATGCAAAATGCAGAAAAATCCGTAAGTGTGTATTTCCCCATAACCTATAATTCCAAAAATTTTACTGAATATATTCCTTGAAGGTTTTTTCAGAAAATTTGTTATCTTCTTAATTCAAAAATAACTTTAGCAGTCTGTTTGCAAATAACTCGGAAGTTTGCCAAAGGCATAGTACTAGGCAGCTGCCAATGTTCCTATAATTTCAGACTATTCTGCATTTCAGTGGTTTAAATTATGTTCTTAGAAAGATGTGGAAGAAGGTATCACTTGAATACAAAATTCAGACATTTTGTTGTACATTCAGGATTCCCTACGTCCTTTTTCTGGTTCTCAAAAGGAAGAGATTGTTTAACTGCCATAAGCAAGTCTCCCATCCATCCACTTGACACCCCATATTGTCACATAAAGAATCCTGTATCTTACATAAGACAGTACTGAGGGAAATAACATCTGTGGAGGAACTCAAATCAGCCCTCAGTGGCTCTGAAACCATCAGTTTTGGGATTGGCTCACACACAGGGGGTAAAATAATCAACCCTCATGTATTTTAATTTTAATCATTATATTATAAAATATTCTAAGTAATAATACTTTTTTTCAACTATTAATGATGGGTACATAAATTCAATACAGGAAATAATGTCATAGGCCTTATCAAAAGACTTAGAAAAACATTTAGAAAAGATTCTAAAATTTGATTACTAGTTTTTCTTCCTCTAAAACTTTCGCACAATATGAATGTTAGTTTGAAGCTATTTGTCAGAATCCCCTGCAATATAAATCTTAAATTGACCTAATAGTATAAATTACAAATAGGATTATTTTAACGTCTTAATAATGATACAACCCTTCTTTTAAGATCTGTTATAATTTGGCATGATTATACCTTATAAATAAAAGCCTCTGACTCTGAAAGCGAGTTAATGATTAAATGGTTTTAGCTTGTTCTCCGTGAGAAGCCTCCAAAGCATATACATTTCCAATAACTACTGTGTAATAACTGGTATCACAGCTTTAACAAGCATTTACCTTGCAGCATTTGCTACTAGTCAACTTTTATAACAACACTATGTTTGTCATTTTGAGGAAAGTAAAATATGGTCTTTTCACAGATTTTAACAGCACCAATGTATAGGTGAATTTCCTGTCAAAGTCAGGAGAACCTCCACTGAACAATTGAATTTAACCAGGCTTTCATTTTCATGATGTATAAGTACATTATTGATTCAGTCATGTAGTTGAATCTATACCTTGTGAATCTTACTGCAATATCTTACACCCAGTTTCCCCTCACATTTGCTAAAGCCATAGTTCAGAAATGTGGTCCCTGGACTAGTAGCATTAGCATCATCTGAGAACTTGTAAAAAATGAAAATTGCCCAGCTCCACTCCAGAACTGAATCAGAAACCCTGGGGAGGAGCCTAGAAACATGGGTTTCAACAAGCCGTGCAGGTGGTTATGATGCAGACTAAAGTTTGAAAACCTCTGTCTAAAGCAAAAAGATGTTCTCTTGATATAAAGAAAGGTTTTCCAGCATTGGGATAGCTCAAAAAACTAAAAACGTAACTACCATTAGACCCAGCAATCCCCCTACTGCTTTGGGTAAATACCCAAAGCAATACCACTTTGGGTATTTACCCAAAGGAAAAGAAATCGTTACGTCAAAACGACACCTTCACTCTTTTGTTTATTATTATTATACTTTAAGTTCTAGGATATATGTGCACAACATGCAGGTTTGTTACATGGGTGTACATGTACCATATTGGTTTGCTGCACCCATCAACCCGTCATCTACATTAGGTATTTCCCCTAATACTATCCCTCCCCTAGCCCCCCACCCCCTGACAGGCCCCGGCGTGTGATGTTCCCCGCCTTGTGTCCATGTGTTCTCATTGTTCAATTCCCACCTATGAGTGAGAACATGCGACACCTGCACCCTTATGTTTATTGCAGCATTATTCACAATAGCAAAGTCATGGAATCAACCTAAGTGTTCATCAATGGTTGACGGGATAAAGAAAATGTGGTACATATACACCATGGAATGCTAGGCAGCTATAAAAGAGAATGAAATTACATCCTTTGCAGCAACATGGATGGAGCTGGGGGCCATTATCCTACATGAAATAACTCAGAAACAGAAAGTCAAATACAGCATGTTCTCATTTAGAAGTGAGAGCTAAACAATGAGTTCACATGGACATAAAGATGGAAATAATAGATACTAGGGACTCTAAAAGTGGGGAGGGGGAGAAGGGACTGAAGGTTGAAAAATTACCTATTGGGTACAATGTTCACTATTTGATTACATAATATACCCATGTAACAAACGTGCACATGTACCCCTTGAATCTAAGTAAAATAAAGTTTGAAAAAGAAAAGTTTTGAATCACTTAGGTGGAGCAGTAGCTTCTGCAGGGACCTTTCTCTCCAAGCCTAAAATGCTGTTATACTTTATAAAATATACAGATGTTCTTTACAGATGGTACCAAATTATAAAAATTTCATCTAATAAGGGTTTTAGACTAAGGCATATTCTCAATACATATTAAAACATTGATGTGCATCCAACTGAAGGTTTGAGTTGTAAGGAAAAAAACATGACTAATTAAAATAGCATGATATTACAAAGATAAAAATAATGTCTTATCTATCATAATTTCAACAGATTTTTCCCAAAATTAAAATCAAAGAAAATAGGGCTGATTTAACCATTGCCTTTTGTATTTTCTAGGTCCAGAACTTGTGCCATCTATAGAACTAGAGCCATGCCTAGGTAATTAATGAATGAACTATACAGTTAATACATATTCCTACACAATGGCCTTCAAAGGCAACCTGGTGAGGTTATCCCAAAGAATAGATGGAACAGAGCTGGCTTATTTTGCTAATATCCTCCATGATATAGTCTGTGTTATCAGAAAGGCAAAGGAGAAAACCCTAAAAATAGAGAGAATGAATTTTATTATAAAGATATATTTCTCAATCCCCACATGCGTACATGATATAATAGATATCAAGAGTAAAGCTTTGGGCAAAACAACATTTTCTCCCCTTTTCCACCAGAAAAAAAAAGGGATCAAGCTTATAGTATAATTTTGATTAAATAATTATTGTTTAATTTTTTCTTAATTTCATTTTAAAACCATACATTTCCTATTTATTATTAGTAAAGCTCACATTAGGGGTGTAAACTGACCAAAGTAGTGTTATTCCCACCTTATGGCAGATTTTCCACTGGAATGTAAATCTTTCAAGTATATTTTAAATTTACGGAAAGAGAATACTTTTATAGAGTAACACGAAACTTGCATGAATAATTCATATTTCACAGATGTCACTGTCATTCTGAAAAAAATCACTTTATATTCTTTTGAAAAATACTTAGAGACAATGATAGACTTACATTTTTCCAGTGTTAAGTTACATTAAAAGGGAGATTATATGTTGAAAAAATAAGCTTCATCATAAAGGTTAATAAAATTATTTGGCTAAAATAAATAACAAAGCACTTATAATAAATTTATCAGTAGAACAGCTAGCTAAACACATTAAATCAATTTCACAAAACTGTTCTAATTTAAATGTATGTACATCAGGGAAAATCTGAATGGAATACCTGAGACTGTGCATTAATATTGGCTCCTTCCTTAACAAGAACTTTGACAACTTCTGCTTGTCCAGCCAAAGATGCAATGTGAAGAGCGGTATTTCCCTTCTGTTTTGGAGAAACAAAATAGAAAATGTTCAAGGTTTCTGAATTTTGCAGAAATCAAAATGTGCAGGCATTTTTCAACTTCACTAATCACTTTAACCGATTAAAATTTGTTATTTATCAAGATAGTAGCCCACTTACGAAGAGATTATTTTTTACCATCAAAAAAAAAAATTGGCCACCTCATATAGTGTCTTCCTTTTCTATTTTCACAATATTGGTTTAGTGTTAACACGGAATGACTGTATTTTCAATGAATCAAAAATTTGTGGGGGGTGTGTGTATGTGTCAATATCTCATGAGATTCATGCAATTTAATTAACAACTAAAGAATCCTATTGCAAAGAAATATTAACTAAAAAAAGGTTTACTGAAACATTGAGTTTCTTTCACCTTGCAAAGAAACCTAGGAATTTTTAGTGGTAGAGAAACGAGCTGCTTATAGTTATGTTTGCAGCTACTGGGGCACTTGAGAATATGTTGGGAATAAGAAAAATAAATTTTACATAAATCATAACAGTACCAATGATTTTCTACCATTTGCTACATCAAAATTTACCAGCCACAACACTAACACCAATGAAAAATAATTTAAACCTTTTGTGAAAATAAAGGCCAAGAGATTAAAAATACCTATGATGTGATTAAAATAAATAACAAAAAGAAAAAAAAACCAGAAACCAGTAGATTCCAAGCCATAAAGTTTGGACTCTAGTTCTCTTTCTGTCTCCAGCTCACTGTGGGAGCATTAGCCACTCACTTAATATTTGGGGGCTTCAGTTTTTTTCTGTTTAAGTGAGATTCTTTTCCAGGAAATTCTACAATTCTATGATTAAAAGTAAGCCTAATTTTTAAAATATCAACAGAGTTTAGAAGAAAAGAAAAACAAAAATAGTAATAAACACTTAAGCAGGCAAAAATAATTGGCTTAATGAATACACTATATTAACATGGGCAACTATACACCATCTCATACCAGTCAGAATGGCTATTACTAAAAAGACAAAAAATAATAGATGGTGGGGTTGTACAGTGGCAGCCTCAAACTCCTAGGCTCCTGTGAGTGCTCCTCTTGCTACAGCCTCCAAAGTAGCTGGGATTACAGATGTGAGCCAGCACACTGGGCTTCAAATAGATATTCTTTAAATATTTGTTTAAAATGTATTTGATGTGCCAGAGAGAAATGCTTATAAAAATGTTTACTCCCTCTTTATGTTCGAAGTAAGAAATTTATTGCATATAGTGAATTCACATGTTTACTTCTGTGGAATTGCCAGTTGTTAGTTTGTTTTGTTTTTTAATTTCTGCTAGAATTGCTGTTTACTATACTACAAGCAGAACCAATGCACATTTTGTCAATTATGCATGAGGCATTGGAAATCCACGTTAACTGGCCATGTTTTTAATTTATTCTTGTACTTTTTTGTTTGTTTGTTTACTCCAGATTAGACTAGTGTCCCATCTAGAGACCAGAGTGCCTGACTTCTCTCTCTACATCTTCCACAGCCATATTATCACATTCAAGGCTTGGTCAGCAGACTTGGCTCTGATTAGCACTGTATTTTTCCAAATAAAATTTTACCTTCCAAAGGCAAAGATTGTTGCCATTCATAATAGTTTTTTAAATGTCTGTTGTTTATGAAATGAATCCTCGACAAGTTCAAATATGTTTTAGCAAAAGCAGCATCAAGGAACAGTTTCTGGTTTGCCAAGCGTCCCGTGCATTTCTTTTAAAATGAGTCCAATTTCCTTACCAAACACATTATGATGATAAAATCTAATATTGCCCTAACAATTCAATCCATGACCCAAAATCTCTTTTCTTATTAGAGTATAAACGATTCTGCATAGTCTCATACCAAACTGAATGTATACATTTAAAATTACTTGTTCTTTTCCATAGAGAAGTTTCCCACATGGGTTTATTTTTAAACAATGAGTTAACCGTAGGAAAACAGGTGCTATTGTCTACAAAGGATTATGTTAATCTCATCCTCTGTGAATCGAAGGGGGAAAGATAAAATTTTATAAACTAGGTTTACAGATTTTTCAGACTGATGTCCCATAAGTCCTTAAATGAAACAATTCACTCTGCAGAGTTTAATGGAGGGGGTTTTAATTTTAATTCTGCAGGTTAAGAATCTTGGTGTTCTAGCCAACCTCTGAAATGTACGAGAGGGAAAAGAAGCTTTAAGTGGGTGAGGTGTGGTGGTTCACGCCTATAATCCCAGCACTTTGGGAGGCTGAGGCAGGAGGATCGCTAGAGCCCAGGAAGGCAACATAGCAAGACCTCATTTATACTAAAAAAATTTTTTTTAATTAGCTGGGCATGGTGGCGCACGCCTGTAGTCTCAGCTACTCAGGCAGCTGAGTTGGGAGGGTCACTTGAGCCCAGGAGGTGGAGGTTTCGGTGAGCCGTGATTGTACCACTGCACTACTTCCTGGGCAACAGAAAGAGACCTTGTCTAAAAAATAAATAAAAATGAAAAGCTTTAAATTATTTTCGCTTTTCTAAGGAAAAAAATGTTCTACCAACATAAATGTTACCTTAGTGGCAGAATCCACAGAGGACCCTCTTCCCAGCAGCTCCTGCACCAGCCCCACGTGGCCTTCCTTGGCAGCCAGATGGAGAGCGTTGAGTCCATTCTGAGAGAAGAAACAAACAAGGCTTTAAGAAGTGAAGTAATGAGGAAAATAGTGCCCTGATCCTACTCAAGCATATAACCCAGAGAACAGACAGACTCTGATCTCTTCTTTTTTTTCCTTTTTGCATTAGAATCTTGAATCTATTAATTTAAGAGAGACTAATTTCAGTGTTTTTGATTCAGAGAGGCAATAAGGTAAGTATTCATTAGAAACATGGATTTTGGCAACTTCATTTCAACAGTTTTTTTAAACGAAGAAATCTCTAAATTTTTTAAATGACTTAAAGAGAACAATTTTATACCATTTATTGTACTGGCACAAAATAAAATTCTGTACACTTTCTGGGACATGTACAGCTTTATATTTTTTCAGTCCTTTTGTATCTCAAAGCAGCACTCTGCTAAGCGCTTTTCACACTTACGAAGATGTACTCCCCACCTCCTGGGATTTACAGACAACAGTTATACCTTGATTAATATTATAACTAACTCACTCCAACTAGCTACTCAGTGACTCAAAATACTGACCAACAATTTGGAAAAAACTTAGAAGAAAATTAATATGATTTTAAAAATCAAGAACAAATTTTCAAGAGGAAAATATTAATTCAACCTGAAAAATAGAATAAATATTAGTTTCTTCATCTTCAAAACAAGGATTAAAGTCTTCAACTGACACAGTAGTAAGGCTTAAACAGAGCAATGGAAATAAAGTGACAGTTTAGCAGCTGGTACATGGTGCCAATTATTAGCTTCCATAGCCCACTTGTCTTATACAGACGGTATTCTAATATTGATACTGAATAATTTAACATTTTTCACATGCAAATTGAAATACACTGTTTTACACATATCATATAGACCCAAGTAATGCTACAAAATGTTATTTCATAAATAATCTCAGAAGCTAATCATAAATGTTTTTGGATTTTGAAATGGAATATAGAAATTATTTACATTATGTAGATTGTTATAGAAGAGTACTTATCTAAGAATGACTGTGAGTCATACTCAGAATGTAAAAAAAGAAAAAGTTGTACTAAATATGAAGGTTATAGAAACTGTCCTTCTTACACTGTGACATTTAATAGTAATAATAATAATATTTCATTGTTAATTCCTGACCACCGAATTGAAATCAGTCAATAAAATGATCTTATTATGATGCTAGAGTCAGAGAACAAAGACAATCTTGATATTCTTGATAGGGTCTCCAAATTTAGAGGCAAAAGACATGACAATGATATGTAATATGATCAGATTTATAGTTCAGAGATGTGCTATCTAACAGTCTTCTACTGAAATGTAAATTTATGAGGGAATAATTTTAACATTATAATTTGGGGAAGCTGCATCAAGGTATAGATTCACTGCCAGCAATGTTCTACATATCTATCAGTTTCACTGTGTCAGGTTATAGTTTCACTGTGTCAGGTTATATTTCTAGCAATGATTTAAATATCTCTCAATTTTATATATACTGCATACCAAATGGGAAACAACTAAAGCAGGATACTATTGATAAGTCATTGATACTGACTTTATGTAAGTTAATTTTGATAAAATAATATGTACTTAGTTTTTTGAAACAATCAGCAAATATTTATTGAGCTCTTATTGTGAGCAAGATATTGGGCTTTGCAGATCTGTGAGTTCCAGACATGATATCATCTTTGATACCACAACTTCAGAATAATGCTATTTCTATATAATACCATTAAAATGGCTAAAAATATCAGGTAGATTTTAAAAAAAGATGGTAATGCTACACTGAAACAACCATGTGCACATTAATCAATCCTAAAAAACAAAGTTATCTTTTTTGTTCAGCACTTCTATCAAATTTTATAAAGCAATATTTTAACATTTTGTTCATAATCAGATTTATAATAAGCTCTGTTCACTACTTCTCTTGCTGATTTTATGAAATACTTTCCCCATTGACTGCCTTTCTGTGATCATATAAAGCTAGTGGATGACCCCAGGTAGAACAGATAGCCAATAAAAATTTTCATGGAACCATTTGAGTGTTTCTGACATATACAGAAAAACCACAGAGGAGTCCATTTGGAAAAGTTGAGGAACAGATTCAAGAAGATATGGCTAAACTTACATGAAGGTTAAATGTTTGCATCATCATCCATCAAACTGTTTTTCACCTTATTATAAATTCATAATTAATACAAATTTATTTGTTAATCCATAAGCATTTGCTAGGTACCCACTAAGTGCTCAGCTCTCAGTGCTAGGTTCTAAGGGAGAAGTAAAGGACACATTATGTAATTTTTGTCCCGATAAATATTTGGCCCCCAAATACTTATTATTAAACAACTGAAAATCAACTACACAGTAGCATATATTGTCAATGATTTAATTTTCAGATCTCTGTCTGCCCTGCTTTGCATACGGCACATGTTGAATGAAGAGTTTCACAGTCTGTCTTTTGCATATCAGAAAAGTACAACTAACTTATATAACATCTTTAATTGTATGAAAATGTAAATATTTTGGAGAAGGCAATTAAAATATATGAGTTCTTGAAAGTTTTTGAAAGAGGTTAGAAGAAAGAGATAGAGAGAAAATGGGCACATCCAAAGGCAGTAATTGTGAAGGAAAGTGCAACTTGTCCTCTCAGTCCTCACCACCACTCTGAATGGACTTCAGTGTCAAGATTCCCCCAAGCCAAGAACTCTTCTCAAGATGAAATACGTGCCATAAATGTAGATACAAATAGATGTGAAATATTACTGCAGTTTCACTGTGCCATTAATATAAATGACATTGGCAAAAGAAATAATCTATACAATGAAGAAAAAATCCAATTAAAAATGAAAATGACACATTTACATGTTCTCTATCCCTTCTCAGTCCTTACGCCCATATATCTTTTATCTGCACTTTTCCCTTCTCTTCCACAGCGGCTTCTCTAAACCAAGGGTACTTATTCACTGCGGTGGGATTAAGGATTTAGTTTTTTATGAAGATCAGGAAAAGCAAAGCACACAATGCGCCATCTTTGTCAGACACATTTAACTGAACTGACTGTGTCCTTGGCTGGTCTCCACAGGTTTCTGATTTAACAAAGTAAATCAAACTATAGGTGATCCAAGAGTATATCTGTTTTATTAGTTATTCTCAGATCTTCAAGGGTTTCTTTTAAATTCCCAAATGATAATTTAATGTGGTATTTACTAAGCCTTCATTAACTTAAAAATATTTACAATGAGATCTGGAATTTGGCTGTTCAGGTTATCGATTATTTCATAGTGAAAAAGGGCTAGAATAAGAATACTTTGAAGATGTCACTCTATATAGTCCACACCAGGATCTCCACTTCATCCATAGCGGAGTCCCGTCTAGCGCCCCGGATGGTAGCTCCCTTTTTGGCCACTGATCTTTTCTCCCTGTCTAGCCCCATCAAGGGTTGTTTTTTTTTTTTTTTTTAAATAATGCAATCCCTAAAATATAGAGAATGACACTGAATATGGTAGTGCATTTGCCTGGGAGAAGAAAAAACTGTAAAAATTGGTCTTCGGAATCTTACTAAAATCAAGAAAAATGAAGAGGTTATGAGTGCTGAGAAATAAATATTTGATGAATGAAAGAATAAGAAATGTTAATGACATAGGAATCACTATTATATTTTACATTTTACATATATTATATTACAGCATATTTTATTATGCTTTACAGATGATGACACTAAAATTCTCAGAAGTCAAGTGATTTGCCTCAAAGATCACTACCACTTATAAGAGGAAGAGCAAAAAATCCAAACTCAGATCTATCTGATTTCCAGACCCATGCTTTTTTATTTAAAATAATTAAATGCTAAACCAGTATTTCAGACTGTAGGTCACGATGCATAAACGGGTCATAAATTCAATCTAATGGACTGCTAATCAGCATGGTTCAAATCATGAAGTAGCATAAAGAAAGACAGAGTGCACTGTGGGTGGACTCTGTTGATTTTGAGGGGTTTTGGTGAAACTTTTTATACACACGTCTGTGTGTGTGTGCACATGCAGGCATGCTCTGGATTGCAAAAAAGAAGTTTAGTCAAGACCTGAGACAGGAGGTCATCTTGGGGAAGTTAGATGTCCTTTTAGATCAAATAAATAAAACATTGGCACTCACAAAAATCACTTTAAGGGAGGATAATGGACATTTAGAAATGGTTTTGTTGGACCTGGATGACAGGTTGATAGATGCGGCAAACCACCATAGCACACGTATACCTACGTAACAAACCGGCACATTCAGCACATGTATCCCAGAACTTAAAGTAAAATTTTTTAAAAAAGAAAAGAAATGGTTTTGTTGGTAGACTTATTTGAGTTTTCTGAACTTAATTTTCATTTTAGATGGGTGTTGTGATGCAAATAAAAGGACTGACAATGGGATGAAGCAGAATTCTTCATTTTGAGAATATTGGCTAAATCGTGTCCACATTTGGGGTTCTGAGAGGGACGGTGGCAGAGTGAAGAACACGGGCACAGGGCAAAAGGAAATCTGAGCTCCCGTGCTGTCTCTCCAGTCCTAAACAATAGGATTTAAGGTTTCTTCAATAGTAAAAAAGGGAAATGTCCTACTTTGCCTACCTCAGATAGTTATTTAAGAGTATCAAACAATGTAGGTTAATTCTGTTTGTAATTTGTGAAGTAAAAAACAAATGTAAGGTATTATTATTTCCCAGTTACATGCAAACAGTAATACATGTATATATTCCTGCTCTCCCCATCCACAGCCCTGCCAATGTTCCATCACTAAGATTTGGCTAAATGTGATGAGATGAATTGAGCATTTTTGAGTTCAACATACGTTTACGTAGGCTAGCAAAAGTATTAACGTATGCAAAAGTGATGTATTTTTTTAAGTATTTTGAATTACAATAAAACCTAGGAAGTAGATGGGTAAAAGGAGCTTGGTTTATTAGTAGTCACCCTTGTCAATAATTTAAAGAGTTGCAATTTTACTACTGAACATTTCAACTCTATTTATTTATTTATTCATTTAATTTTTTGAGATGGAATTTTGCTCTTGTTGTCCAGGTTGGAATGCAGTGGTGCAATCTCAACTCATCGTGCAACCTCCGCCTCCCAGGTTCAAGCGATTCTCCTGCCTCCGTCTCCCGAGTAGTTGGTATTACAGGCACATGCCACCACACCTGGCTAATTTTTTTGGTATTTTTAGTAGAGACGGGGTTTCACCCTGTTGGCCAGGATGGTCTCAAACTCCTGACCTCAGGTGATCCTCCCACCTCGGCCTCCCAAAGTGCTGGGATTATAGGCGTGAACCACCATACCCAGCCTCAACTCTCCTATGTAAATGCCATTTTCATGTGGTCTCTCATTTCTTTGGTTAAATTAATTTTTATAAGATTACATAGGTAAATTATTTCTTTAGTAGTTGGCTTAACATGTATAAGAAGAAAACATTTCTATAAGGCTCAAAGAAGAAAAATTATCTGAACTACTTATTATAATAGTCATGGTTTAAAGGAATGTAAAAATTAAATTTAAAAGTGAGTGGCAAATCATTTAAATAATAGCTAAAATGTATCAGAGTTTATTCTTCTGTGTCAGGTTCTGTTCTAAGTGCTTAATTGCATTAATTCATATAATCCTGAACTGAACATTCTGAGTTATCAACTACCTGGTGATTCTGGCTCAGAAACTGCACTTTTAAACCTCCTCCCCTTTTCACCTCCCTGGCCTCCGTAACACAAAAACCAATGGCCTCTGCATCATAATCCTATTTTATTTTCTTTAGACCTCAACTTCTCATTAGCTCTATTTTTTAATAGAAAATATCTCAGTCTCTAAAAATTATTTCTTTTAGGTTTGTAGATATTTAATGTCCAAATACATCAAAATTAGAAAAAAAAAAACATTAAAATGAATTGTAGAATGTTATGGTGTCAAATGCATGCCAAGCTCAGCATTTAAAAGTGAATTCTAGGCAGGCACAGTGGCTCACGCTTATAATCCGAGCACTTTGGGAGGCCGAGGCGGGAGGATTGCTTGAGCCCAGCAGTTCAAGACCAGCCTTGGCAACATAGAGAGCCCTGTCTCTACAAAAAATGAAAACTAAAAAATTAGCCTGACTCAGTGGTGTGCACCTGTAATCTCAGCTACTTGGGAAGCTGAGGCTGCACTCCAGCCTGGGTGACAGAGCAAACCCCTTGCCTCAAAATAAGTAAATAAATAGATAAATAAATAAATAAAAGTAAATGCTAAGTAAAAATGGAGCAAAGGGTTTAGAATGGTTTCTCCCTTAAGTTTTTTTTTACAGTAACAAAATTCTGTGTTTCTAAGATCAGATGACAAGTAATAACAAAATTCTGTGTTTCTAAGATCAGATGACAAGTAATAAGAGTATAATTTCTAGAAGTTTTTAAAGATACAATCCAAAAGACTAGGTCTTAGTTCTGCATGTTTATCACTGACTCATTTAACATTTCAATGAACCCATCTTAAAAGAGGGCATTAAAAACCTGAACTTTCTCCTACTGACATAGAATTTATCAAGGTTGGCAAGCAGGGGAAGGAGTATGTACCATGAAACAAGAGAATTCTCTAGTGAGACAGCCAGAAGTGGAGATGCCTCCAGGCACCAACGGTGACATCGGAATTGAGAAGAAAGAGGTGGCAGGACCTCGAAGGAAAGGAAGCAAAAAGGGAGGCTAGAACTAAAGAAATTCCACAGCAGATTCCAGTGTGTGCCCTATCCTCCTGCTTCTAATGAGGCACAAGTAAAGAAATATTTTTGAACAAAATACTAAACTCGGATAAAACATGATACAGAGTTTTCAAATTAATAGACTAGGGATAGCTTAAATTCAATAAATAGTAACTAAATTCAAGTATTCACATACTAAAACATTTGTTGACTATTTATTGTTTGCTAAACATTGTGCTAGAAACCAAGTCTATATTTCAAGGTATCAATATAAAAGTTTGGTAATATTATTAGAGCATTACAATGACTTCCGATCTTCTCCACATTTTTTATAATTTTAATTAAAAATAAGCCAAATTTGGCATGCTGGACTCTGTGGGAAGAGAGAGGAGGGAGCATTAGACAATAAAAGCTTTGAAGAGTCTTCTAAATAACACCCTGGTACTCTGTTTTCCATCATTATAAAATAATTCCTATAAATGGTGTTTGGTATCAATTTCAGGTATGTCTGAGACACACAAGCTGGCTTAGTCACTTTCTCCTCTGAGCAATCATAAAATTTGGTTCTTTTAACCAATTTATTGTATTTGTGTGTTTCCTGTTTATCTTCCCAACAAGGCTTCTTTTTCATGAGAAATGGTCAAATTTTATTAATACTGGTAACCTCTACACCTAATATAGTACCTGGCACAAAAAAGGTGCACTTCAATAATGTTTGTACAATAAATGGGCTAATTAATAATGTGTACAGTATGAAGGTAAATAGGAGTTTGCTTAATTCACCCAGGTACTCTACATTTTGTCAGCAAATGCAAGTCAGTGCATGAACAAGTCAGGTATAAATATATCCATCTTTGGAAACAAAATCAGGAGACATTCACTCTCTGAGGCCCAAATTGGTTACCATTAACACATACAAGGGGAAACTAGATTCTGAAGGAAGGACTTAATTTAAATAGCCTTTGTTATTAAGGATCTCAGAGTTCTATGACAATTTTTAAATTTTACATGTTTATTTTAGTGCCAATCTGAAACACATTAATAGAAGCATATTCTGGGTCATCTGGATAATCATATTTAATTAACATTTAGTAATTTTTTGTTCTTGATCATGCTTCTGATTGTGTTTATTTCAAGGAATCACTTAAAGGGAACATTCAAATTTTGATGCAGGTTTTCTCAAACTGAGGCACACAGATGTATTTTCTTAGGGGACCAAAAGAAGTTTCCCCCTATAAGTAGAAGAAATGTTGTCTTAAGAGTTGGTTTGTAAATAGAACCTAATAATATGTGGATCTTTCCATCTAGAAAGCAGAGTGGATGCTTAAGGAGGCATGACTAGAACCTTCCTAAGTATTAGAAGCTTTCCTGTGTCCCATAGGACTATAAATTATCTAAAAGAAATTATAACAATTAATTAGAAACTTCATAGCCAAAATCAAAAGGAATATACTTGTTAGTACTTGTCCAGAATTTGTCCGTCCATCTACTCTGATGTGGGTGAAATAATCATTTGTGGCTAGCCTAACTTTGCTAACCAAATTCTATGTAAATATAACCATCAGAGCCATAATTTGGTTTCCTAAATGAGTGTGCACAACACAATTGATTTTCATATGTATCATCTGAGGACCCAATCGTCTCCTTTTAAAGTAGAGAAGTATGTTGTGAAGATTATACATATGTACATATGTATATACGCACACACACTATGTAACACATACACTGTAGCACAGTGATGAGGATGTAATAGGCATGCAATAAACTATTATTTGATATAACAGGTATTATTATTTCCCACTTCATGAATGGATAATTTGAGATTCAGAATGATTTAAGTGGCTGGCCCAATATCCACTCAATCATTCATTTATCAAATATTAATTGGATATCTATTATGTGTCAATCCTGGGTCTTGTTCTTTCCAACACTGTGCTCCTGTCGTTATATGACACTGAAGCTTAAATTCTAGTTTATAAATCATTCTTTGAAATAGGTTCATGTAAGTCAGTGATAGTGTCTCTCCCTGGTAAGTTTAATTTTAACCCTGTTTATATTTGTATACTCTGTGAGCTTTTCTTTGTAAACCCCTCAAATTTCCTGTGTTGCTAAAGTTCCAAGTTCCCAGTTTGCGGGACTTGCTTTCCTGTCTGCATATTGCAAAACTGCTAGCTGGGGACACAATTGGTTAATAAGAAACTAGTGTCTTTTTTAAGATGCAAAAATTTCACTAAAAGTAGAGTTGTTAAAAAGGGCCAAAGTGACCATTAGTTTGGCATCGAGACTTATAATTCCAAGGGAACTTGAACAACAAATCTCTTGAAAAACTTCTGAGGTTACTTTGGATGAGAAACTATATTCTCAACTTTCTGATAAATGGTTTTCTCTGCCTGCTTCCCTCCTCTAACTCCCATAGGCACTGTTGCTGTCTTCCTTTATTCCTCAAAGGAAATATCACATTGCAAATTCTCTTTTTCCCAAGGGCAGTAACAGCCTTCACTGACTGCAGCAATGACTGCATACCCACTGAGGTGCAGAGATTTATTTCAAACTGTCCCCTCTGCCCACTCCAGCCTGCATAAAGAGCTTTCTTTTTTTTTTTTAAGTAATGACAGTTTAGGGGGTGGGGTGGGGTGTGGAATGGGGAAGTGTCCTTATGCCCCAAGGTGTGCCTTTATGGGCTCTTGCTCATCTGCATCTTGGTCTCTTTTATCCTACCCTGAAGACCTTTCATTTCTGAGGAAAAAGGTAAAAAATGAACTGAGTATGGGGACTAAAAACAACTGCCACATGAGGCTCTACACTTGCACATATGCAGCTTCATTCACAGACAGTTGCTCTGATCATGCCCACATCAATCTGACAACCACTGCTTAATTCTGACGAATTCTCTTCTACACAAATTCCTTTTTTTCTAAGAAGAGAATTCCCAATTTGAAGAAGTTGCCATTTTAAAATAAGGTTTCCTTTTTCTTTTCTTCTATGTATTCCATAAGAGAAGAGGCCTTGAAAAGACTAGAGATCATAGGATTTGTTTACTTCTTTACAATCATCAATACAGAGATAGAGAGTGAGTGAGGGAGAGAGAGAGAGAGAGAGAAGAGAGAGAGAGAGAGAGAGAGAGAGACACGGGAAGATATCCAGGAGGGGAGGGAGGGATGGGTGGGAAAGTACTGGGAAACTTCTACAGAGGGAAGAAAAAACTGTTTAGAATCTTTTTTTCAGCCTTTTTGCCCTGGTTTTTCTTCATCTTCGTGTATTTACCTACCTTTGGTCTTTGATGTTGCTGACCTTCAAATGGGGTTTTTGTGTGGACGTCCTTTTTGTTGATGTTGATGCTATTCCTTTCTGTTTGTTAGTTTTCCTTCTAACAGTCAGGCCCCTCTGCTGCAGGTCTGCTGGAATTTGCTGGAGGTCTACTCCAGATCGTTTGCCTGGGTATCACCAGCAGAGGCTGCAGAACAGCAAAGATTCCTGCCTGTTCCTTCCTCTGGAAGTTTCATCCCAGAGGGGCACCTGCCAGATGCCAGCCAGAGCTCTCCTGTATGAGGTGTCTGTCAGCTCCTGCTGTAAGGTGTCTCCCAGTCAAGAGGCATGGGAGTCAGGGACCCACTTGAGGAGGCAGTCTGTCCCTTAGCAGAGCTCGAGTGCTGTGCTGGGAGATCCACTGCTCTCTTCAGAGCTGGCAGGCAGGAACGTTTAAGTCTGCTCAAGCTGTGCCTTCCCTATTTAATACATGGTGTGGGGAAAACTGGCTAGCCATATGCAGAAAACTGAAACTGAACCCCTTCCTTACACCTTATCAAAAATCAACTCAAGATGGATTAAAAATTTAAATGTAAGACCTAAAACCATAAGAACCCTAGAAGAAAACCTAGGCAATACCATTCAGGACATAGGCATGGACAAAGACTTCATGACTAAAACACTAAAAGCAATGCCAACAACAGCCAAAATTGACAAATGGGATCTAATTAAACTAAAGAGCTTCTGCACAGTGAAAGAAACTTTCATCAGAGTAAATAGGCAACCTACAGAATGGGGAAATAATTTGCAATCTGTTCATCTGACAAAAGGATAATATCCAGAATCTACAAGAAACTTAAACAAATTTACAAGAAAAAAACAATGCCATCAAAAAGTGGGCAAAGGATATGAACAGACACTTCTCAAAAGAAGACATTTATGTGGCCAACAAACATATGAAAAAAAGCTTATTATCACTGGTCATTAAAGAAATGCAAATCAAAACCACAATGAGATACCATCTCACACCAGTTAGAATGGCTATCACTAAAAAGTCAGGAAACAACAGATGCTGGAGAGGATTTGGAGAAATAGGAGCACTTTTACAGTATTGGTGGGAGTGTAAATTAGCTCAACCATTGTGGAAGACAGAGTGGCAATTCCTCAAGGATCTAGAACCAGATCTAGAACCAAACCATTTGACCCAGCAATCCCATTACTGGGTATACACCCAAAGGATTATAAATCATTCTACTATAAAGACACATGCACATGTGTGTTCATTGCAGCACTATTCACAATAGCAAAGACTTGGAACCAACCCAAATGCCTATCAATGATAGACGGGATAAAGAAAATGTGGCACATATACACCATGGAATACTATGCAGCCATAAAAAAGGATGAGTTCATGTCCTTTGCAGGGACATGGACGAAGCTGGAAACCATCATTCCCAGCAAATTAACACAGGAACAGACAACCAAACACTGCATCTCACTCATAAGTGGGAGCTGAACAATGAGAATACATGGGCACACGGAGGGAAACATCACACACCGGGGCCTGTTGGGGAGTGGGAGGCTAGGGGAGGGACAGCATTAGGAGAAATACCTAATGTAGATGATGGGTTGATGGGTGCAGCAAACCACCATGGCAAGTGTATACCTATATAACAAACCTGCACGTTCTGCACATGTATCACAGAACTTAAAGTATAATAATAATAATAATAAAAGAATTAATGATCAGCCATAAAACAGAATATGAGAACATCAGTTGGCAAAATCTCAGCTACTGCAAAAGGGCTGGAAGATTCTTAAAGGCACAAAGAAAATAACCAGGAGAAAAATGACTAGGCAGGAATGGCAGCTTCACCTCATCTCACACACCACCTGTGTTTGTAGTGCATACTGGAAGAATTGCAGTGAGTGCATATTTGCATTAAGATCTTTCCTCTCTTTGTCTCCAACAGCAAAAATCAAGATGGGACTCCTGAACTCTACAGACTCCTGGAGAGATTCCCTCCACTTCTTTCTCCAGATAGTTTCCACAAAGTCACAATTGCTATCTGCTTGGGACTGTCTGGGCTAAACTTATCATGTCCTCTATCCCTGTTTATGATAGTCACCAACTCCACCATCATCCCTGCAAATCTTATCCCTCTCCACTTCTGTATACCTCCTTTTCTGATTCTGTCTCCTATCACTTCCCATTTCCCAAAACTCCCACACTGATCCTTTAGAATGCATGGGTGTAGTCATTAGCAAATACTCTGGGCTAAATCTGTTCTCTAAATATCCCTTTTAAGCTTCTTGCTCTAACTAGAATCCAAAGACACTGCTTCCCTGAAGTCTACTCAAGTGATGCATACTTCACTTGAGTAGACTTCAGGGAAGCAGTGTCTTTGGATCTCGTATTCCTATTAATCACCGAACTTGGGGGAGCTCTATTTTGCTTCTTGCTTCTCACCACTCTTTTAAACTCTTTTAAACTATTTTTCTTCCTCCTCTTTTTAAACCTCCTGATGTCATCAGCCTGTATCCTCTTGATGCCATTCCTTGTCCCTTGAAGATTTTAGCTTCTAGCTCACTGCCACTTTCTCCTACATATACACAGGTGACTCTTCCAAAACTCCAGGTGTTCAGGTTCTTGAATTCCTCAATGATTCCTTCTTTTCTCTACCTTATCCGCTCACTTCCATGGTCACATTCTAGACATTTTCCTTTCCAATAATTATAAACTTCCTCTAGTATTTCAATTTTAAGCATCCAACCCTCTGAACAGCACTTACTCTCTTGCTAATCTACTCATCCAACTCCAGAAATCCTTCAATCCTTAATAGTTAGAGCCTATTCATCTTTTCACGGTGCCCACTTATCTCCTCACTTGGCATGAATCCTATGCATAGTCTTTATCGTTATTTTATTCATTACCTTATATGCATCCTCAGTTCCCTTGTGTTTCTCTAGTTCTGCCATATGTGTTTAGCTAAACCACATTCCTGGCTATATATAACTCTCCATGTGATCCCATGTCTGAATGTAGCTGCAGAAGAACACACACACATGCCACCTCCACTCACTTTAAATTCCTGATCATGATGCTCAAGCAGACCCTTCATGCTGCCTGCCAATCATACTGTCTTACCCTCAACTGCTATCTCTCCCACTCTCCTGGATTATTATTTCACACCTTCTCCCTCCTCCACCTCCATCCCCTCCTCTCCTATCTTTACTCTCAGCTGATAACCTAGAATCATATTTCGCTGAAAAAAACAGAAGCAATTAGAACTTCCACCCCACAACCAGCTCCCAGCACGGCACCCACACCACTTCCTGCTCCTCTGCCCATACATCTTTCCTTTTCCTGAACTATCCACGATTCTAGCAAAAGCCAGTCCCTCCACTTGTGCACCAAGCTCCATCCCCACTTCTCATCAACTCAAGGACACCATCCAGTAATTCTCCCATCTCTCTCTCAAATTATTTATTTTTCCTTCCCTGTTGATATTTTTCCATCAACAAAACAAAGCTATTATTTCTTTCCTATTACAAAGAAAGCCTTCTTGATTCCACTTCCTCTTCCAGCTACTTTTCTTATTCTCTTCTTTCTTTTATAGAAAGAGCCCTTGAAGCAGTCCTTGGTCTGCCCGTCATCCATTGAATGAGCTCCAGTCCAGCTTTTACCCCTCCACTCCACCAAAATTGCTATGATCAAGTCACCAGTTTCCATCACATTACTAAGGCTGTTGTTCAGTTCCTCAGCTTATTGGATCAACAGCATTTTACAGAGTTTATCATTTCATCCATCTGAAAATAATGTTTTCACTTGGCTTCTAAGAAATCACAACTTCAGGTTTTCCTCCTACATCCCTGGACACTCTTTCCCATTCTCCTTGATGGCTTCTCATCTTCCTGACCTCTAAATATTGTAGTACTCCAGGGCCAAGCCCCTGAACCTATTCTATTTTTCATAAACTCTCTCTCTTTTGGTGACCTCATGCAGTAACACGGTTTTGAATACTATCTATACACTGGGTATGCCAAAATGTACACTTCAGGCCAAAATCTTTTTTCTGGACCCTAGAAAATTCATATATCCAACTGCCTACTGAATATCTTGGATATCACACAAACAAATCAAACTTAACATGTTCAAAACTGACCTGCTGAGTATTCCCTCAAACCTGCTCCTCACACAGTCTTCCCCATCTCAGTTAATAAAACTTCAGCTCTCATTCTTTCCATTGTGACCTCAACCCTCATGCCTAATTCCTCTTTTGCCTTCATCCTACATTAACTCCATCAACAAAATCAGCTGTATTTTTGAAATGTGTCTAGAATCCAGCCACGTCTCACCAATTCTCCTGCCTGTTGCTCTACTGTAAAACACCTCACTTCTCACCTAAAGTATCACAAAAGTGTTCCCTGCTTCTGCCCTTGTTCCCTTTCAGCCTGAGCCTTACTATTAAGACTCGTCAGCGTATGTCACTCTTCCACTAAAAACCCTCTAATCACTTCTCTGCTCATTCGGAATTAAAGCCAAAGTCCTTAAAATAGCCCACAAGGCCTTACATGACCCAATGCTGCTTTCTGCTCTCCCCAACCTCCTCCTACGCTTCCCCTCCCTCATTCTACTCCAGGCAGGCTTGCTTCCTTGCTGGCCCTTGAACATGCCAGCATGCTCCTTCTGTGCGGTTCTCTCACCTGTCAAGCCTTCTTCTAAAGTGTGCTCCCTCCACAGCATGCACGGCCTCCTTGCTCAATTTCTTTAGGTTTTCTTCTGTCCATCCCCTCTAAAGTGACACACCGCTCCCATTCCACCCCTCTCTCCTTCTCCCCTGCTGTATTTTCCTCCATATCACTTACTGCCTTTTCTTCTCTCAGGTTGTAGATTGTGAGCTTTATGAGAGCAGAGTTTTTGTCTCTCTGCACTGCTCCATCCCCAGCACCTAGGACAGAGCCTGCCACTGAGTAAACACACAATACATGTTTGAGTAAGTAGATGAACAAATAGCGTGCCTGAGTTCAGACCGGCAGAAAAAAATGCTGCGATTCTACTATCTAAGATGAGCTAGGAAGAGTGGAGTGGCTGCTTGGAGTCAGATATTAAAATCCATGTCGCTTAGCCATAGAAAGAGAGTGTTCAAGAGAATTTCCAGATTATAAAGTGTTCTGTTCCGATCTAAACCACTGCGGAGAGTACTTAATAAGACAGTCATAGAAATAATTTGCATGAAGCTACTCCCAGCATTTTTAAAATGAAAGAAGAGTCACATTTCGAAATCTTCATAAACCTGCCTAATTGTAAACAGAATGAAGTTTTTAGAGCTGGGGGCAAGTAGTTGATGAAAACTCTCTACTGGATTTACTTTACATTGAGCAAATATCAACAAGTAAACTAAAATTTCTAAGTACTCAAAATATTAGACAGGTGTTACTCAATTCTAACCTGAATCAGCACTACCCAGTATAGAGCAAGGACCAGCACTGATGCATCGAAAGAGATTACAGGATGGCACAGAATCCAAAACCACATAACCAGAACCAGATGGAAACATCACCTTTTGCTTCTTCTAAATGAGGGGTCAATAATAAGCATTTAGCTATATAGTTATATTTTTGCATATATATTTGTGCCTAATTTAACTGGTTAGAAAACTGCATATAGCTCATTCCATGTTCCATTAATTCCATGAATTTAATTCTCCCCTATTCATTTTTGTTGTTTTTATAAGGTCCCAGGCTAATAGAATTGTTTTTAGTATTTTTAAAGAGAAGTCTAAACCAGATGAACCCAAATGGCATTTGTGAAAAAGATTTTAGTTCCAGATAAATATTTCAGTTTAATGCAACCCAGATAAATAGTAACTTTACCAAATTGCTACTAATCATAATTTTTTTCTATTTGGTGATACAGGCTATGGCAATACCTTTTATGTTCTGTCCTGCTTGTGCGAATCAGTGCTACTTTTGCTAAAGCTTAGGTTGAGAATCAATATAAAAAAATTACATTATTATAATAAGCATCATTTTCACAAGTATTTATTGAGTACTTGCTCTGCCAAGCATTTTGCAAACATTTCACTTAATCATCAAAACAACCCTAAAACTTCAGTGTTGTTATGCTCACTCCAGTTGAGAAAACTCAGGCCTGCAGAAGCTGACTGCCGAGGGTCACTCAGCTGGTAAGTGGGGAAAACTAGAATTTGGTTTCCAGCATCCACATTGTTAATGTGACTTCCAAATATGCTTCATGGTCTGAGTCATACTGTGTGAGCATATGCTAAAGTCATTGCTGAGTGTATCTTCTTGTTGCTAAAGGTCTGCTATTTGAGGAACATTAATATTGTTTTGAAAATGGTGCTTCGACCTTGCCTTCTGTTTATAAAAAAGGAAACACAGGATTTAACTGATAATTTTGCACCTTTAAACTCCAATGGTAAAAGGCCAAGGCCAAAATTCAGGGCATTTTAAGACCTGTTAATCACTGGTATCATATCCAGGATTGTATTAAATAAATGCTAAGTGATAGTCTTTCATTTTGAAGTCACTATAGTGAAACTAATAAATTGTATACATGATGAAACTTTCTGAAACTACTGGGGTTTTTATTGACTTGTAACTGGCTACAAACTTTTATTAAAATACTATACAGTTTATTTTTAATGTCCGAATGTTAATCTTGTTTGTAACAGTATTAAGTTATGCAGAATTACTAAATAGGGAATAGGTAAGAAAGTAAGTCTTTATGAGTTTCAGAAATAAATTGAACGCTAAGATTTATTTTCTCTTCTAAATGTACAAGAGATAATACGGTAAAAAGATGACTGGTGTAATCTTTTAAAGAAAATAAAAGTTAACCATATTAGTAATCATTTAAAAAAGAAAAATGAAAACTTGACATTCTTTTAGAGTATTTTCATGTGCCAAATTTATGAATTTTCCCCATATCATTTAAATAATTAAAAGCAAAATAGTATTTGGGAATTACATTTTAAACTTCTCATGGTAGTTGTGAAACCAATTTTATAAAGAAAAAACATTGATTCAAATTTCAGTTTAAGGAATCTTAGCACGCCAACACATGTGATATTTTTGGAAAGCTGGTGCAGCTCAGATTGCCTTTCATTGAGAAATGCAACAGAGTACAGAAAGTCCTGGTTTCTACATTACATATTGTAATGCTCCCTAGAAACTCAGGCTTAGCAGCAAACTAGAGGATACATTTTCTTTTCTTCTTTCATATGCCATATTATCTTTGAATATTGTATACTTAGAAATAGCAATAGTTTGGCTGAATAGTTGTCTCTTTTACTTTCCTGGGTATTTAGAAATCATTTCCTGTTCTATATTGTATTTGAGTTTTAGTAGAAATCCTGGTGGTGGTGCTCTTTGACTTAAAAGATCCTGTAACCACCTATGAATAAAGTTATTTTTATATTAGCAGTAGTAGATTAAAAATAAGTTTTGAGCTTTAAGATAAAGGACATCACCACTGTATTACTTTGAAGGGCAGCTCCAAATAGCTACTCAAAAAGATATCCTGCAGCAGAAAAAAGCTTGGACTTGGGACACAGACAGATCCATGTGGCCCTGGGAATGTCACTTAACCACTGTGGGCCCAGTTTCTACATTTGTAAACTTGAACTAATCCCTGTCTCACAATATTTCATCTCAGTTGACTGATAAGACATCACATGTAAAGCCCCAGCACAAAGTCTAATACACAGTAGCTAAGCAGGTAACATTAGTCACTGTATTTCCCTAATCTTTATTTAATTAATATACTGTCTTGAATAGTATTAATAAAAATACAGAACCAGCATGAGACTGCATTTACTTTGGGGAATTTTTTTTTTTTTTTTTTGAGATGGAGTCTCACTCTATCGCGCAGGCTAGAGTGCAGTGGCGCAATCTTGGCTCACTGCAACCTCCACTTCCCTAGTTCAAGCAATTCCCCCACCTCAGCCTCCCAAGTAGCTGGAATTACAGGCGCCTGCTGCCACGCCCGGCTAATTTTTTTGTATCTTTAGTAGAGACGGGGTTTCACCATGTTGACCAGACTGGTCTCGAACTCCTGATCTCAGGCAATCCACCCACCTCCTGGCCTCCCAAAGTGCTGGGATTACAGGTGTGAGCCACTGCGCCTGGCCTGTTTTATTTATTTATTTTTTTAAGAGACAGGGTCTTACTCTGTCACCCACTCAGGCTGAAGCACAGTGGCACGATCATAGCTAACTGCAGCCTGGAACTCCTGGGCTCAAGCAATCCTCCTGCCTCAGCCTCCCACTGTAATCCCAAAGTGCTAGGATTACAGGTGTGAGCCACCACACCTGGCCTTGCATTTACTTTATACCTGGCGAGTCAGGGAATTGAAGAGAATCAACCTCATATTTTGAGTGTAAGTCAATTTTAATTTGTATAATTCTTGGTGAATTATATACAGTAATTGTAATTAGAACACATGTACCTTAGAAACTCCTTTTACATTTCATAATTTAACTTAAATTGCAACCCAGGGGTATAAGCATTGAATGTATTGTTTTTATCCTGTTTTACAAGTTAGAAAAATATCACTTTCTAAAGTGAGCTGACTTCTTCAAAGTAGAGATGAAACTTGAATTTGAACCTGTGGGCTCTAAATTTTGTGTGGGCTTCATGAGATCATGTTGCCTTCTCACAGAAATAAATGTTCTTTCCTTTTATAGTGACATGTTAGTGGATGGCTGGCCACTATAAGAAAAAGCTAACTCAAGAAGCTAAGATGGTCTATAAATATGATAAGAATTGAGTATTTACTGTTGAGAGATTATTCTTTCTCAAAATAACCCTAAGACCTTTCATACAATTAATGTATTTGTTATACTTCAGTGTGAAGTAGACTTGGTTTGAAATGAACTTTCTTTTCCTTAGGTTCTCTTTTTTGGTGTTATTTATGATAAGTTTACCTAAATGAACTAACGGTTTCATTGTCTATTCTCTAGCATATTGTAAATTTAGAAAGTTAACAAATTGACATTTAGGGAGTGCATTTAATCTACTTAAAGAAACCTAAGTTTGGCCGGGCGCGGTGGCTCACGCCTGTAATCCCAGCACTTTGGGAGGCCGAGGCGGGCTGATCACGAGGTCAGGAGATCGAGACCATCCTGGCTAACATGGTGAAACCCCGTCTCTACTAAAAATACAAAAAATTAGCCGGGCGTGGTGGCGGGCGCCTGTAGTCCCAGCTACTCGGGAGGCTGAGGCAGGAGAATGGCGTGAACCCCAGGGGACGAAGCCTGCAGTGAGCCGAGATCACGCCACCGCACTCCAGCCTGGAAACCTAAGTTTACGTGAAAAGTATTAAATATTCCATATTCTGCACTATTCACAATAGCAAAGACTTGGAACCAACCCAAATGTCCATCAATGATAGACTGGATTAAGAAAATGTGGCACATATACACCATGGAATACTATGCAGCCATAAAAAAGGATGAGTTCATGTCCTTTGTAGGGACACGGATGAAGCTGGAAACCATCAGTCTCAGCAAACTATCTCAAGGACAAAAAACCAAACACCGCATGTTCTCACTCATAACTGGGAATTGAACAATGAGAACACTTGGACACAGGAAAGGGAATATCACACACCCAGGGCCTGTTGTGGGGTGGGGGGAGGAGCGAGGGATAGCGTTAGGAGATACACCTAATGTAATTGACGAGTTAATGGGTGCAGCACACCAACATGGCGCATGTATGCATATGTAACAAACCTGCATGTTGTGCACATGAACCCTAGAACTTAAAGTATAATAAAAAATAAAATAAAATAAAATAAAAATAAATAAATAAATATTTCATATTCAACTTCATAAGTATTTTATAGAATAAGTCCATATATCCATATGGGAGTTTGAATGTTCTTTCTTTCTTAAGGTAACTAATGTATCTAAAGTTCAAATTATTTGTCCAAAAGAACACAAAAAAAAATCAGATAAAATGATTCATAATGAAAAATAAGATGGAGGAATGTAGACACAACATACGAAGATTTTACATATTGGAATACAGTAATTTGGGTTTATTCCATAGGTCAGTGTTAAGAACTATGTAAAGTTCTTGAGATTTTATCTTACCAAAGAGTTAAAAACTAAACCATTACTGTTTCATAATGCTAGTAGAAGACACAAGTCTTCTGGGTGAGAAACAAAGGACGTTGTAATTCAGAGCAAAAGCAGTAGCCAAGTGTCAGCCTGCTGCTTATACCAGTTCCCTATCCCTTTCTTCCCCCATATCTAACAGGGTTGACACAAAGGACCAATGATGGATGCCCATACATGTGGGTTGTGTTAAAGAAGAACACTGACCTTGGGGGATTCATACAGGCCTGCTTTGTAGCTAGAGGGAGATATCGCCTAATCCCTCAAGGTTGCTCACTGCGAGCACCACCCTGAGAAATAGCCCAGATAAAAAGCAATCCCAAAGTCTTTCATTCTTGTTATTCCCAAAAGTATCTGCAGGACTGCTCAGGGCCACAGCAGAATGCCTTTCCCAACATTAAGTAGCTCTCAACATGTTTTCACGGTAAGAGACACACTCCCCTAAAATATGAGAAATATTGACATCAGTGACAATGCTCTTTATGCCAGTGACTCTGAAGAAGAAGGAGGGAAATCCTGTACCCTTTGCAAAAGCCTGCAGGTGATTTTGAAACAACCACCTCACTGATCTGGGAATTGGTAGCCATATAGGGTAGCCATAGAAGTTTGGGGAGGAAGGAAGTGTTGTAATCTTATTTTTATTTTATTTATCGCTCAAGGCATTATGTGGAGAATTGATCAAAGTGGACAAGATTGAAGACAGAACCTAGTAAGAAGGCTGTTATGACAACTCTGTTAAGTACCACAAGGTGATCCGAGCTCATGTAATCTGGATGCAGAAGGTGAACAAAGAGAGGAGTGCTGGGCTGGAGAGGGGGAAAGATGAGGAACGGGAAACAGTTGGGTTGGAATGGCACATTGGTGAGGAAATCAGCAGGTAGGAATTAGGGAGTACAATAAGTTTGAGGATAAGATACCGGGCTCAGTTTCTGAAAAGTTGTTTTTGAAAGATTTATTAATTTCAGTGGTCTATAAAGTAAACATAACTGGGTTCAATATATACCAGGATATAGAAAAAGGAATTTATATATAATTTAGAATCCAGTAGTGACATTTACCTCCTTTTAACTTAAAATTAGCCAGAATTATTCACTTCCTAGTTAGGTCTCTGTCAAACACATACACACAACACACAACACAACATTTAGCATTGAAGTGAATACTGCAGTCCACTAGACACTTTAATTCATGATGTAAAAATCTTACTCAAAAATAGCACAAAAATGTCAACGTTGGTACCAAATAATATCCAAAGTGTATAATATTCTCTAAAGTCCTTATGAAATGGACATGATGAATGGATACATCATTTACAATAATAATTTCAAATTATTCTCATTATGAGCCATATTTTAAAATTAATTAGGAGAACATTTTATCCTCTTATTTCTGTATACTAAATTGTAATAATCAGTTTCCCATGAGTAAAGTGCATATAGTCAAGAAGGAAAGAAGCCAAGATCTGGATTACTAGATGATAAATGAGAAGTAAAACATCATTCTTGGTCAAAATTCCAGCTAAAGGTGGCCCAAATCATTTCACAAACAAAATTGACATTCAGTTGTTGTTTTTGATCTATCTGCTTTTTCAGCAACATTAGCTCTAGATACAAACATCTGATACTTGAAAAGTTGGTAAGGGGGCAAAAAATGGGATTTCAGAAGTCTGAGTCACTGATATTTTAGTATTTTTAATAAAGACAAAAATAATCTTGGGCTCTGAGAATGTAATGAGTGTTCCTTCGTTGCACAACACAGAGCTAGCTGCCATGTTCTTACCTGATTGCAGGTATTGATGTCTATGCCCCCCTTCAGATATTCCACAACTTTGTCCAGGTTGCCTGCTCTGGCAGCACGGAGGAAGCTTGCATTGCTGTCAGACTGCGAGAAAAATAAAAGACCTTTAATGAACTATTGATGAAATAGAAATGTATCCAATACAGAAAGACAAGAATGTTTACACTGAAGTCAGAAAAGCTTTAGTTGGAAAAATTTCAATAATACGGAGTTTAAAACATTGAATAATCATTCACTATATAAGGTAGCAACTTCACAATATTTCTAGAGAGTTGTCTAAGTACATTAAAAGTCAATATTTTAGAGTATAAAAGAACCATTAAAATGGAAATAATTGTTACTGCTTTATTCTAAATCTTCAGCCACAATTGAAGACGTGTTGATGCTAGCCTCAAGTACTGCTATTACTCATTCATTTTAGCTTCAAGATTCTAGTGACTTTATACTGAGCTAACCTCAAGTCAAAAAAGAATCAGAAAGCTAAAGAAATTAAAGCTACTGGGTTTTTTTCTTTCTCTTTCTTTCCTGTTGGTTTTCAGATGCTTCTGAGAGAGAACACTGAGTATGGGTCACTTGGCAGTCATCTGGTCTCATTAGAAGGGAATAACAGAAAGCTCCGAGGGTGCTTTGAGGAAAGGGGATAGCACTACTTCGCAGGTGTGGACTGGGCTGATGCAAATTTTGTGATCCCAGTGATTCTGGATAAACATGATTAAATTTAAACCACCTGACATAATACCAGACTAAAATCTTTTGGTAAAGATGATCACTCTGGATGGAAACTGCTTTTTAAGTTTCTCATCTTCCCACACTCCTCTCAAAATCAGATGCTGGGAGACTCAGCTGAATTCTGCCCGTGAAAAGTCCGAAGAGAGTTGCTCCAGATGCACAGTTACAATCACACGGCCCCCTGGCTTGGTTATAAAGTCTGACTTTTAAACCTTAACATAATAACGATGATAAACTTTTGTTGGGTTCCAAGACACCTGCATAACTGTTATAATTTTTTGTCATATAATATCTGACTAAAGAGAAAATGGAGGCATGAAAAGGGACACAATTTACCTATTAGGAATTGAGATGAAGGTTTGATGACTCTTAATCAAACATTCTCCTCACTAGGCTACACTGCCTCCCTCCCTCAAACAAAGTACTTGGCAAGAACCTCTTGGCATACTCGGTCAGAGCTATTTATTATGATCTGTGGTGATGTACAGAGATAGAAATGGAAGTATCTTCTCTGGGAGTTTCAAATATGGAATTACTTGCATACTGTTAAAATGATTTACACATGGAAAGACTGAAAACCATAGAACTAAGTTACCTCACTTTTAACCCAAATACCAAGTGGCTTATATGTTTATAAATGAGATAGATTATTTATTAAGAGTTGAAAGGTGTGACTGAAATCTATACATCCAGAATTCATGCCCTGATTCTTTAGAAATCCATCATCATATGATTAATATCACACTGTTCTTCACTCTTCATCCTTCCTGAAGTCTGTACCAATGGCAGAGTGCCCCCAAGAATATCTGCAATGCTGCAGCGACTGAACTGTGACTCGTTTTTAAATGCCTATTCTATGAAATTTATTTTGCTGTTTGCAGCATATGCTAAATTCCAAGAGGATTTCCTACCTTCAGGTTTGTTGTCACAGCACTTAAAAGTGAGTTATAATACTGTGTATTATGTTATATTAATATCTCACAAGAAACATTAATTTTACTATAAAACAACAAAAATTAAATAGTATTAGGTTACAGATATAAAATACGAACATATTATTCCTGTATATAAAGTTTTTCCAAAACAAATCTGTGTGCTATATATTATATTAGAGGTTGTTCCTAGAAAGTACTTCCAATTTGTACATAAAGCAGATGCTTATAGGTAACATTTACTGAGGGTTTAGTGGGTCAGGAACAGAGCTCAAGGAGTCACATGTATTATATCACAAATACAACAATACTATGAGAAAAAAACTATTCTTATGCCCATTTAATAGATGAGGAAAGAGATTTAGAAAGTTTCCAGAGTCACGTATTTACACACATTTATTTAGTGGAAGACCTGAGATTTAATTTATGTTTATCAGTTCAGAGCTGTAAGTTTTATCTGCTATCCTATCCCACACCTTCAAAGTATCACAGTGAATATTACTACAGATTCCTAGCCTGTGAGCTCTAGGTTTATTTCACCTGCATTAACCCCAGTTATGCCTTTGGTCTACATATTTACTCTGTAAATCATGGCACTTGCTAAATAAAGTGCCTCAGCTGGAGAGAAAATTCTTGACTGCCATCCCTACCCTCACAACTATCACCCCTCTATATGCACCTAGAAAATTAAGAGCCAATCTGAGATGAACTACTTAGAAACACATTCATGTGAGAATGAGGAAACAGGTGATAAAGGATGCTTTGCATTAAGAAGCCAATTGTCTGTCTCCCTCTACATGCTTAACATGATTAAACTCAGCAAAAGATCAGGTTGCTCTATTGTTCCTATAAAAAAGAATGCTGTGAACAGGTGGAGCCAGAAGAAGAGCCTGACACCAAAGGAATGAAGAGACACCTAGAAACACCAATGCAGCAGCCTGGAGTGGCAATGATGGTCTGATGGGGCCTCAGGTATTGCTGAGGAGTATATAATAGACCATCTTTGAATCTTCTCTGGGGATTGGACATGACATTGAGGATTGCTTTTGCCGTTATAGAGTAACAAAAAGTTTTCATAACTGGTTTTCTCTTTTCATCAAACTTTTAAAAAGTGAATGCATGTCAAAGTTATAGCAAATCCTTAGAATTTTAGCAAACAATGCTCCCAGTGTTCTGAAGGGTCTGGGTCCTATGGAAATGTAATATCTGAGCCATTCTGCCAAAGACCACTTCAGCAGTTGAGTCATAGGAGACTTTTGGGTAAGTTGAATTCTTCTAGAACCCCTTTAAGGGATTTGGTTTCCCCCAAAGTGAGAAAATGCATTAAATGGAAATATTATCATAAAATGGTCCAAGAATGTAAATTCCAAAGACAGAAATAAAATGAGGTTTTAAAAGTTATGTATGAATATTGACATTATTGAAGCCCAAATTTATATACCTGCATAGAAATACATATTCTTCTCTCCCTTCCACATAGACACAAGCACATCGTACCCTACAATGAGGTCAATCTGTGATTAAGGCCCTTGACACAAGCGCTTTGGATAAACAGTGGTTAGCCTGGTTATCTTCAATCAACACAGAGATGAAAGAGGATTCAAACATTCAGGGAGAGAGATACAGCAATTTTTACCATGCTGTGTTTCCCAACTGATTATGATAAAAGCAAGAGTTCTAAAATCAAGTATAAGTAGGAGGAAAAGCATGCTTTTAAAATAGACTGTTTTCTTTGCTCAACCAGGAGATTTCACACATAAAAGCAAAATAAAGAGAAAATGAGGCAAAAGCAACTTCTTTGGAAGAAAGTCTCAGACAAATGTAAGACTATCCTCTCCCTGCTTTGCTGCTTTATGTCCCTAGGACTCTCAAATCCTAAAACAAATTGTGCTGATGCCCATAGTCAAACTCTGGACAAGGAATTCCAATGCTGAGCCCCACCTATTTTAATCTGCAACAGATGGATGTCATTAAAACTTGCCCCCTTTATAACCCTGGAGTGACATCTCAGGCCAAGAAAGAAAAATTTCCCATTAAATTATTCTTGACACAGTTCTGTATGTTGTCTTGTATCT
Source organism: Homo sapiens (assembly GCF_000001405.40). Classification (NCBI taxonomy): domain Eukaryota; kingdom Metazoa; phylum Chordata; class Mammalia; order Primates; family Hominidae; genus Homo; species Homo sapiens. The sequence goes on along the minus strand of NC_000004.12, from coordinate 113,170,763 downwards.
GAATATTAGAAACACAGAACAACTTTCTTAGCACCCAGCAGTGTGGACATGAAAGGCAGGGAGGAATGTGCATTCATAGAGCCACATTATATCCCCAAGGAGTGCTGACCCAAAGGCTCTAGGGGCATGTCCACAGGGGCCCATGAGCTTGCTACAAGTTTTTTAATTCTTTAATTCTGTGCTTACGTTTCAATAATAACCTAATAAAGAAAATATTAGCATATTCCAGGTCCTCTACATGGCTACCCTATATGTGAGTATAAACATATAACTTCGGTATATGTCTTTGTGTTTATAACTCAGTACATAACAAGTGAAGTCCAAATGATATACAGATGCATAATAGACAGAACATTTTGCTGTAGTACAGAGACAAGAATGGTCAGAGAATCTGTTCATCATACATGGCAGGACATGACGAGCCAAAAGTGCCTGAGCAGCAGCAGTCAGTAGCATATTAACATATGCTCAGATGCTATCTTCATATAGTCCAACGTGCACTGACCATTAGCAGTGAGTGTAATAGAAAATCCACAGTGAAACATTTTTTCAGTTTTCAATTTTAGCTTTTATTGGTTTGCGTACACAATTCTATCCCAATAGTAATTTCCTCTCCAAGCAAATAAAGAGAGCTTTCAAAGATTATATTCTCTTAAAGCTATTCTCTGATAGCTATAAGTTTTATTAGCTTGAAGTAGGAAACAACACCTTAAAGTTATTAAGAATAGTTTGTACAACATACTTACAAAAAAGGTATTCTTTATATTATTTTTACTGGAGTCAAATTCAGAAACTAAATACAGAACTCTGAGGTTATTTCTTTTTTTATTACTAAGCACAATATGTTAAATTTAGTTTCAGACATTTCCATTCATTGTATTAAATTTATGCCCTTTATTTGAATAATATTATAAAACTTACATAAGTTTTACTTAATTTGTCAAAGTTTCTTTTTTATAGTGGCACAAGAATTTAAGAAGTTTTATGTGGCTTTATGTTTTTAATACTTAACACTATAATAAAAATAACACTGGAGGTCATAATTTTTTATATACTTTAAAAGAAATCAATAGACTATTCAAGTTTGAGAACCACTTGTCTAAAACGGTGACCCAACCAGCAGTCCCTACTAGCCTTAAAAGAGTGACACTGAACACCTCCCCCGTCACAGTCTCTGGCTTATGGTGCGCCCTACACACATATTTGCTGACTGGCTAACCTTACGTAAAGCACAGGCTCCTTGTGGAATTTGAGGAATCTGCTTATTTTCTTAGGAAGCAGTCATTCCTTTGTAAAAACAGGGTCATTTACCTGGCTACTCTGAGATCTGCGTTTTTATAGCAATACAAAATAAATAAAACCTAGTAAAGTAACTTGAAGGGAAAAACTTTAATAAGAATACCAGGAAAATAAGGGACATTTTTACAATTTTTTAGGTCTCTTCCTAGGCATGTAGGATAAGTTAAAATCCATGTCTAGCAAATTGTGACTTGTCCGATCTTGGGTCATTGTATGTCTCAATTTCCTTATCAAAAAAATAAATGTACTTTATAGAATTGCTAAGGAAAAAATATGATGATTTGAGCATGCTTACCCCACTGACAGGCACAGAGGACACTTACTGAGTTTGTTTTATATTAGTGGCTTTTCTTGTGAGGGATAAATGCAAAATAACAATAATAAATCAAATTATCGATGCACACACATGACTTTTTTTAAATGTGAAGATTCCTGGCGTTACTGTGTTGCCAGCAGGCCTAAGCTACACCAGAGTACTTAAAAATACACTGAGATGTACAGGTATAAAAGGACAAAATGAACCAGAACTGGGTGTGGTCTGTCACCAGTGATGAAGATGCTGCAGAGAACTCTCTTTGTGATATCTGAATGCTTGTACCTACAGATTTATACTTCTGTCCAAGGACTGCTCTATTGTTTAATTAATTCAGCTCTTTCATTAGCTCACATTATTATTGCTGTCTTGTCGAAACCAACAATTTGGGTTCAGCCAAGAACTGCATGCTGGATATACTAGGATTTTTTAGAAAGAATTGCAGAAGTTACTTTCTTGCAGTCAGAACACATAAGTGATATAAAACACTTTACACTGCAAAATCCCACTTGACAATTTCTATTCAGCTGCTACCAATTTATAAACCATAAATTTGTACACTCTGGCTCAAACATGCAGGTTAACCTACATATATGGTGTCCTTCAACAGCTCTTTAGATTGCTACTAAATGAAAATTACTGACAGGTCCCCTAATCTTCAGAGAGAGTAAATGCAACTTCTCAAAAGAGTGTTCTTAATCCAATGGCCTTTGTGTTAAGAAAATTGGTTCAGACATAAAAGTGAACTCTATAAATGCTTTAGTTAGGGGAAGAAGAAAGAGTAAACTTAAGTGTTTATATTTTTACTTTTGAATGTTATTTAAGATAACTATTCACACAAAATTGAGAATTGGAATCATAACAATATCTAAGTTTAACTAAACAGATAAATTCTACCTAAATATTTTAAGTGAGAGATTATTTGAAATTTCCTTTTTAAATAAAGACAGCAATTTTTCCTTTAACTTAGTATTACATTTTAACACTAATTTTTGCTAGCACACTAGCTAAATTATATCACTTATCAACGCTTTCCCTAAGATACCAACCATGAAAAATAAGAACCACCTACAGCATACCAATTCTATCTCTTTCAAAGCATTAATTAAGATTATTTTGCAAGGTTGTGTCAAGATTCATGAATTCCTTTCTAAAATTCTTGTATTTTAAAAGAGAGTAAAATTGGAATATTTTACAGCAGTGGGAATAGGAATGAATGAACCATATCTATATGCACCATCAATAGATCTCACAAAGATAATGCTAAGCAAAACAAGTCAGACACAAAAAAGGACATGTCTTTTATTCCATTTATTAAAGTTCAAAAACTGGCAAAACAAATCCATAGTGTTAGAAATCAGTAGTAGTTTCGGAAACAATCAGAAAGGGGCTTTTGGTTGCTGATAATGTTCTAATTCTACATTCTAGTTCTGGGTGCAGTTTAACAGGTATGTACACTTCCTACATATCAAGATGAGCATTTATAATTTATGCATTTTTCTGTATGTGTGCTATAATTAAATAAAATATTTACTTTAAAAGATGGTGACCTGGCCGGGCGCAGTGGCTCACACCTGTAATCCCCGCACTTTGGGGAGGCTGAGGAGGGTGGATTGCTTGAGATCAGGAGTTTGAGACCAGCCTGACCAACATGGTGAAACCCCATTTCTACTAAAAACACAAAATTAGCCAGTCACGGTGGCAGACACCTGTAATCCCAACTACTTGGGAGGCTGAGGCAGGGGAATCGCTCGGATCCGGGAGGCAGAGGTTGCAGTGAGCCAAGATCACCACTGCACTCCAGCCTGGGCAACAAGAGCGAAACTCTGTTTCCAAAAAAAAAAAAAAGGTGACCCTAGTTTAGGCAACAGAGTGAGAACCCATCTTTATAAAAAATTTAAAAATTAGCTAAATGTGAGTAGTCCTGAAAAATAAGTTATTCCTAATTTATAAACTGATTACAAAAATCACAGAGAAGTAAATAGGTTTAAAAATTAGTATTCAAAAGCATTATCTTTTTTTCACACTGGAGGCAATTTTTAAATGCAGACTATATTATGTGATATTTTTAATGAAATTTGTATTGTATATTTATGGTACAGTCTAAGAGACAATGCAGATTACTAAATACATAGAGTTTTGTTCTTTAGCTCAAAAGAATGCTTACTAAGAATCAAACTCTGGATAATTTTTTATTAGTTGTTCTGATATTCATGAGGCTTTGTAATTACAAAAATTGCATAATTCTCTTTGATTATACATGAATTATTATCCTTGGTATATATTGTATAAATAGCATTACTCCCCTGTTCTTCAACATGTTTACTACAAATTCAAGAAGACCAGATCTGGTTCAGAGATCTCAGTTGTTAAATTTTCCGGGATAAATATAAGTGAAGTAAGTTATCAGAGACAATTTTATACATTAAAAAGTTCTGAATACTCATTTTTTTATGGCATTTACTTTTCTGAAAATTGAATCAAAATATTAATAATGTGATGCTATCCTCCAGTGAATGAGAATTACTACCAAAAAGAAAAAAACCAAAAAAACAAAAACTAGTAGGAACAAAAACCACAAACTAGAAAAGATATTTCTGATGAAATATCTTTGATAACTATTTGATAACTATTTCATACTTCACATTCTCTATGTGCTTTTAAAACTTTAGAAAGTGCTTATGTATGTATGCATATATATATATACATATATACATACACACTTATATGAGTGTAAATATACGCTCATTTTTGAAGAATTATTAAACTGAAGAAATGTGAAATCTGTATTTGGTATTTCATGACATAATAGAAGTGTGACTTAAAAGATAACTTTGTTGTGTTGATATTAGTTTGGCTTCATAAAATGTCTCTATAACTATGCCAGTTACTAAAATGTTAATGACAATGAGGCAACAAAATCTTTCACTAAAATGGGAACTTTAACAAAGATAGGTGAAAACTTTCTTAGGTGTTTATTATTCTGTTAGTTTCCTATTGAACTTTATGGTGAATTTAAAATTTAAAGTTCTCGTAAGGAACAAAATCAATAGGTTTTGATTACTTGTACTCCAGGCATGATAACTCTGAAATGCCTACAGAACTCAGAAGTTCCAACACTGAACACGTCAGTATTTTCTGAATTTGAATAGGAACATGGTAAGTTTATAGATGAAAATATTTGTGACTTGTATCACAACATTTCCAAATTTCTGCTAAGAAAATCAGAGTAACAGGGAAACATTTTGCTACAGCTTTAGGTCAGATGTCAGATTAAATAACAGTTTGAGGTCCATGTTAAAACTTACCACACCTATCTAAGGCTTCAGATTTTTTCAAGAAATAAGATACTCTTTGAGAGGCCTCAGCTACACAGATTTAAGACATTACTGCTTCAGTCAGGTAAGCACCTTAGTTTCTTTAGCCATTAAACTCTGTAGCAAAAGTTAATATTCCTTCCCAAAGAGTCTATCATACTTCTAGAGAATAACATAAGAACTAGAAGAATATGATTCCCTCATTTTTGTTACTGGTTCCTCTTGGTGTGGAGGTATCTTAAAACATCATAGTTGAATTCCACATACAACCTCTAACCATACTGTTTGAACAGATATATTTGAAAAGTTCTGCTTACTGTTTTATGTTCAAAATGCTGACAATGTAAAGGAAATCAAAACATTATACAAGTCCTATGTTGACTATTATGGTTTCCAGATAATTTGCCCTAATATTTTTAATAACCAAAGTAACATGGAAATCTGTACTTCTTCAGGCCAGCAATAGAAATAATCAAATCTTACAGCTCCACATTGGATATTTAATAATACCCACAGCATCTATATATGACTGAATTCTAAATAGTTCTCAATTATTGCTTTAGGATCTCCAACTGGTATTAATTGGGTATAAAATAATGAAAAACTTATTTTTAAAACAATTTGTATCACAGACCCAATCTCTTTCCCAATTTTCAACTAGCTAGATAGCTCTGTAAAAAATGTTCTGCCAGCATCTAAAAGTCAACATGCCCCAAAATGAATATAGGCCCAAGCATGGAAAAGCTGACAGAGTTTTTACATATTGTACACAAATATCCAAAGGAATTTCCTTTTGGATCATCACTGGTCATCAAAAAAAAAGTTGCTTTTATAAATGAATTACAACCACCTATAACAACATTTGGGTCGAGAGAAAAAAGAGAGAACTTTTGAGATCCTTTGGTAACAGTAGTTTATTTAATTCTTTCTTTAAGAAATATTCTCTATACAAAACTCTTTTCATTCCCTAATCAGCATGTTAAAATATTACAGGATGTTTAGAGAAAAAGATATATTAGAGCTCATCCCACTGCAATACTTAAGGATTAGGATACATGAACCTGAATTAGGTCTTAGCCTCCTTCAAGGCTTTTAGAACTGTCAGGATATGAAAAACAAACCCAACCAAGTGAAAAAAACCTTTCATCAATTTTTCATTATGCTACGCATCCGCATCTTATAGTGTTAATTTACTCTTGCCCCCTTGAGGTAGGCACCACATTTTTATCCCCATTGGTCTCCTTATTCTGCAGCTTCAGAGACCATCTGCTCTGAAGCAGACATCACTCAATCAGAAGCAGCTTCGTGACACAACACAGATGAGGTGCTGACCGCACCCCAAGGGCTGCACACACTAAAAAGTAGATTGCTTGTTTAGTATTAAATTATTCAGGATTGAACAAAAAATAGATTCTTAAAACTTCACAATTACTTAAACTACGGAGACTATTTTAAAAGAACTTGCATATATTTTTCTATCATGGTACATTTTCTCACACTGTTGATCTTAGTGTGGCCCCATGAAGATGCACGTGGAAACACTGGTTTTTCATTTGTAACAGTCTAATATATATACATATGTGATTGATTTTCCTAGGAGATATCACTTAATTATAGCTTAACCACACTGTGACCATCTGACTCTACTTGCCTAAATATCTCCCGCCTTGGCCTCCCAAAGTGCTGGGATTACAGGTGTGAGCCACCGCACCCAGCCTAGTCCCTTTTATTAAACTGTTATTTAAGCTTATTGTTGATATAAAAGAAATGTCCAGAATAGACAAACATACAGAGATGAAAAACTGGTAAGTGATTGCCTGGGGCCAAAGGATGCCATGGGGAGGACAAGGGGGAGGGGGTAGAGAAATGGAGAATGACTATTGATGGTTACAAAGTTCCTTTCTTGAGTGATAAAGATGTTCTGAAATTTATTGTGGTGTTGGTCGCACAACTCTGTGAACATACTAAAAACCATTGGATAATATACTATAAATGGGTGAATTGTATGATATGGGAATATATCTCCATA